>NC_000014.9:74460197-74611713 GCF_000001405.40 Homo sapiens
TCTCACCGTCTCAGCCCTGTTCCAGTGGGGCTCTTACCACCTACTCTACACTCTGTTCTTCTTGGTGCTGCCGTGGATCCGTCTTGTTCACAGAAGACCTCGCTTTCCCTATTAACAGCTGCAAACTTAAATGTCATCATCATCTGGGATGATGTCACATCCCCAGGGACCCCACCCTCCCACCAGCTTGGTCACTCTACTGTAGGCCCCCATTCCACAGCCACCTCCTGAACCTGGTCATTTCAGAGCTGCCCCACCTCTGGAATGTTAGATCCAAATTTCCTGCAGGCGGGCTACAACCCCACGCACTTCGTGCTCTCCCCAGCCTTTCAAACTACAACTGCCTGTGACAGCGCTGGTCCACTGAGAAACCCTTGGCTTTTTCTTTTCTCCTCGTATTGACCCTTCCTGTTTTCCCTTCCATCCTGGGCCAGCCTGGGCCCATGTTCCATTTCTTCTAATCACTCTTGCTTCGGCTCCCAGGCTGGAGTGCAGTGGTGTGGTCTCGGCTCACTGCAACCTCCGCCTCCTGGGTTCAAGCCATTCTCCCACCTCAGCCTCCCATGTATTAATAGCTATAGCTGGGATCACAGGTGCCGGCCAACAATGCCGGGCTAATTTTTGTATTTTTAATAGAGACAGGGTTTCACCATGTTGGCCAGGCTGGTCTTGAACTCCTGAGCTCAAAGTGATCTGCCCGCCTTGGTGTCCCAAAGTGCTGGGATTACAGGAGTGAGCAACTGTGCCTGGCTTCTTTTAATCGCTCTTATACGAACAGCCTCATCTCCGTGGCCCCCTTGTCTTTTCATGACTCCCCTTTGGCATAAGCCCCAGCTCAAAGGGAATTCAATTATTTGCTTTTTCTGCACCCATATCTAGCATGCTGGGCACCACTGGAGAAAAGTCACACAGCTGCAGAGACCGAGGGGACTACACAGTCAGGTTTCTCCATGTTGGCCAGGCTGGTCTCGAACTTCTGATCTCAGGTGATCTGCCCGCCTTGGCCTCCCAAAGTGCTGGGATTACAGGCGTGAGCCACCGCGCCCGTCCATCACACCAATTTTCTCTTTCTCTGCCCAGAATTTTCTGTTTCCTGAGCTCGCCATTAGCTCTTTCAGACTTCTCTACTTTTTTCAATACAGCACCTTCCCCAACATCTCCCTCCATATTCTCAGTGGATAACATCACGAGAAAATAAGATATTTGGCAGAAATTCCATCAATATCCTGCTGCCAAACAGATTTTGTCCTTTCCTCCTTTGCTCTCTGGTCACAATGGGAGAGGATCCAGGTGTCCCTCCTAGAAACTTAGGCTAACACCTTCAAGTACATTAGGCCCTCTCTCTTTCCACCTGCCCGAAAACCTCATTCAATTGATTTCCCATGCCCTTCTCTCTAATTTTCCACTTTCCCCTGTCTACTGGCTTCTTCTCATTAGCATTTAAACATGTTTCAGATTCACTCTTTAAAAACAAAACAAAAATCCTCTCCCTTGTCCTCATATCCTTATCTCAGTCTCCCTGCCTTCATTCTCTGTTGCTTCTGTAACATATTACCCCAAAATTTAGCAGCATAAAACAACAAACATAAAACAATAAACAAGGCCGGGTGCAGTGGCTCATGTCTGTAATGCCAGCACTTTGGGAGGCTGAAGTGGGCAAGATTGCTTGAGCTCAGGAGTTTGAGGCCAGCCTGGGCAACATGGCGAAACCCTATCTCAACAAAAAATACAAAAAAAATTTAGCTGGTCTTGGTGGCACACACCTGTAATCCCAGCTACTCGGGTGGCTGAGGTACTAGAATTGCTTGAACCTGGGAGGTGGAGGTTGCAGTGAGCCGAGTTCAAACCACTGCACTCCAGCCTGGGGACAGAGTGAGACTCTGTCTCAAAAACAAAACAAAACAAAAAACAATCAATACTCTGTGGTGTGCTGTGTTGCAGGATGATTTTGCCTAACTGTATGCTAGCATAAGTGTTCAAAGCACGCTTAATGTAGGCTATGTTGGCCAGGCGCTGTGGCTCACTCCTGTAATCCCAGCACTTTGGGAGGCTGAGGTGGGTGGATCACCTGAGGTCAGGAGTTCGAGA
Organism: Homo sapiens; assembly: GCF_000001405.40. Lineage (NCBI taxonomy): Eukaryota > Metazoa > Chordata > Mammalia > Primates > Hominidae > Homo > Homo sapiens. The sequence continues at coordinate 74,462,286 of NC_000014.9, forward strand.
CCAGCCTGGCCAACATAGTGAAACTCCGTCTGTACTAAAAATACAAAAATTAGCCAGGTGTGGTGGTGCACGCCTGTAGTTCCAGCTACTTGGGAGGCTGAGTCAGGATAATCACCTGAATCCGGGAGGTGGAGGTTGCAGTGAGCTGTGATCACGCCACTGCACTCCAGCCTGAATGACAGAATGAGACGCTATCTCAAAAGAAAAAAAAAAGTAGGCTAGGCTAAGCTATGAGTTTGGTAGGTTAGGTGTGTTAAATGCCCGGGCTGGAGTGCAATGGTATGATCATGGCTCACTGCAGCCCTGAACTCCTGGGTTCCAGTGATCCTCCTGCCTCAGCTTCCCAAGTAGATAGGACTATAGGTGTGTGCCACTATGCTGGGCTAATTTTTGTATTTTTTACAGAGACAGGGTTTTACTATGTTGCCCAGGCTGGTCTCGAACTCCTGAACTCAAGCAATCCTCCCACCTCAGCCTCCCAAAGTGCTGCAATTACAGGTATTACAGGTATGAGCCATTATTCTTAGCCTAAATGCATTTTTGACTTATGATATTTTCCACTTATGATGGGTTTATTGGAATGTAACCCCCTCATGGGTCAAGGAGCAACTGTACTTGAGTCTTGGAAGTGACAGTCCATCCCTTCTGCTGTTTTCTACTGGGCACACAGACCAACTCCAATACAATGTGGCAGGGAACTAACAAGGCTGAGAATACCAAGATGTCGGATCATGGGGGACATTTGGAGGCTGGCAACCCCACTTTCCTTCACAGCCGGACTTCTTGAGAGAGTCGTGCACATTGCCTGCCTCCACATTTTGCTCTCTTCATTCAGACTGCTCTCCCTGGGTCTCCAATAACTTCCTTGTTTTGAAATCCAATGGCCACTTCTCAGTCCTTATCATATGTGGCTTCCCTGCAACACTCCACATTGGGCACTCCCTCCCTAGCTAAACACTTCTTCCTTGGCTCCTGTGCCCTCACAGGCTCCTGGAGTTCCTTTGCCTTTTGCCCCTCCATGGCTGTAGTCACAAGCTTCTCTTTACTATCTGTCCATCCCTGAAGGGTTGGAGCAGCTCAGGGTTCTGCAGAGTGTCCCTTCTTTGCCTATGGTGGATGAGGCTGGGATGATCTGGCCTCTGCTAACCTTGTCTTCTGCCACTCCTGCACACCAAACTCTCCATGCCAGCCCCATAGACTGTCTCATGGTTCCTGCCCTCTTCCCACTGTCGTCAGTTCAGATCAGCACTTTGAGGCTACTCTTTGTGCGGTCTCGGATACCTCAGCTAAAAGACGAGGGGAGAGGCCTTAAGAAGAAATAAGGATACAGCTGTAATTAATGAGGAAAGCAACTGAGATCCATCAACCTCAGATGGAGAAGCCTAAGGGGTGATTTGATTATGGTTTTCAAGCCTAAGGGGGCCCTTTGCCTTAAGAAATATGACCGACTGTTCTGTCTCCTTTAACAACAAAATAGAAAAAGGTTAAGTTTTAGTCATGACAGAAATGACAGATCCAGGTTAGGGAAGAGAAGCATTAAATGCCAGAAATTAGCTAGAGCAACGTGCAACCTGATCAGCCTGCTTTAGAAAGTAGGCTAGGTTTCTGCACATCTGAGATGATTGTTGGGTAGACTGAACTAAGGGTAGGCTGATGAACCGGGCAACTCACCAAGCCTCAGGATCTACACTGCGGCATAAGCAGCAAGTCTGAGGTAGAGCTGGGCTCAGAGACCAATTCCTTGTCCATTTCCAGCAATGGGGTCTGACCGTGGCAACCCTTGGGCTGCAGAATGGGTTTGTTCTGGCCTGTAGGGTCAAAGCAGTCTAGCTACTCCTGCTTGGTTATACCTGCCCTGAAAGAGGCCAGAGGGTAGGGTTGTGGGTAGGGAGTGAAAAAGGGTGTAGGTTGGTATTTAGAAGAGTGGCACAATCAGGGGGAATAACCTTGGCTAAGGAGCTGGTTGGTATATCACCTCCTTCAGGAAGCCCTCCCTGATGCGCCCATGCTGGCTTAGGGCTCCTCCTCTGTGCTCCCACATCCCTGTGCTACCTTGGTCCCTAAATGAATCCTATGGTATTGAGATGATCTAAGGATTTCAGTTAATCCTCGCCAAACCGTGAGCTCTTTGGTGGCAAGAACTATGTTTCATTGATGGCTGTTTCGGGTCTGGCACAGGGTATAGGTTGTGGAAGTGCTGGGTAAATGAGTCTTAACTAATTGACCTAGGGAACAAATGCATTGCTCTGGGAGACTGTACTACATTATCCCCAGAGGCAGCTTCAGAATAACCCAGCAGAAAACTCCGGCTTTCTGGAACCACACATTTCAATGGGACAACCGAAGAGATGACCCCATGAAATCTGGGCTTCGGTCCCTGCTCAGCCACTTATTAGCAGTATGGCCTGGTTAGCACGTAACAATCCCCTCCCTGTCCCTCGGTTTCCTCCTCTACCAAATGGGAGCCATGGTCCCACAGATTCACAGGGTTGTCTTGAAAATGGAATGAGATCATGGGTGTGCAGGCAGTGAAAACATCTTGAGAAAGGTCTTTAAGACTTACACAGAGGTAAGGAGTTATTAATAGCCTCATTATTATTCTTACCCAGAATGCCCATGGCAAAGCAGCATGTGGCAGCCCCAGCCCCCGCACCCCACCCTTCCATACTATTTCTGTACCTGGAAAGCAGGTTCTTGGAGGGATCATCCCCATGTGGGGAAGAGGGTGAATGCTGGGCAGACCTGCCTCCACTGGCTCTCCAGCCTGCTCCTCCCTGGGCACTCTCCCCAAACCCTGTGATTCAGGAGGCATGGCCGACCCTGGCCCACCACCCATCTGGAGGGCTTCGGATGGTGTCTGTCTCTGACACTTCATTTGGTGCAGTAGTGGTGCTGATGAGGTGCTGAGGGGAGAAGCTAAAAGTGGTCAGGACAAGTCTCATCACTTGGGCTAAATCCTGGGGCAAGCTGTCTTCCTGGGGACCTCTGATCCACCTTTTTGAGACCCACTTGATTCAGAGTTCAGTTAGGCCCAGACACGAAAGGAAGCAGCTTTCATGCCGATTGCACATTTCTAAGTGAGCAGCTCAAGCCGGCTCATCCTACCTCTCCTCCCTCTTTTCTTCCAATGGCCCCACCATTGCCTGGAGAGTGGAGAGCTCTGGGCAGGAGTAGGAACAGATCTAGGTGTTTCTCCTCCCCAACACCTCTCACTTCCTTGCCATGCAAGTGTGATGCTTGTGAACATCAGTTGGCACACACCAGGGAGCAGCAGAGAGACAGAAGTATCCCAGAGAAAGGAGGAGAAAATCAGATAGGTGGGTGGGTGATGGGTGACCCCATCTTCCATAAAGCCCTGGAGGCAACATCCAGGTTCTGACAGCCAGCAGAATCCCCCAGGGTATAAGCCCCAGGACTCCCAGTGGAGGGCCTGACCTCCCCAACCCTGGGCCTCATCTTTCAGCTCCCCCTGGCCCTCACCCTAACCTGTGAACATCAGCATGAGGGCTGAACAGATCCATAGAAGTGGGGTCTTCACTGGTTTTGGGAATAATCAAAGCCCTAGGGTCAGCAGAGCAGTGGGTACAGAGGAGAAAAAGCCAGCAGAATCTATCTGCAGGTCAGGGAAGGCTGGAGCCTGGAGTGAGGTGTCAGACCAAAGCTCCACCAGCCCGGTCCAAGGATCTCTCCACAAGAGGAAGGCCAGCAGCAGCTACTGCCAGTCTCATAGGAACGGTCCATTATCAGAGAAGCGCAGCCTGACTGCTTTGAGGCGGTCTCCTAACTCGGCTTAGCTCCCCCTTCCCATTCGGCCAGCCAGGTCTGTGCGCTGCTGACTTAAAACGCTGCCCTCAATTCTATCTTTAGCTCTGGCTGCGGGAGCCTGAGTGACAGGCAGGGTGGGGTCTTGTGCTGGGGGTGGGAAAAATTTGCAGCTACCAGGTTTCCTGAGAAGGTGGCATTGATTGCAAGGAGCAGGGCCCATGTCATAATCACAGAATCATCTGTGACCAGTTCAATGGAAAGCACAGAACTCCATGGATACTGGTTGGGTGGGTGGATAGATGGATGGATGGATAAATGGATGCATCCATGCATAGATGGAGCAGAGGCCCCAGGGAAAGGATGAGAACAGGGCCAATTGGTCCATTGACCAAGGCATGGACCCTGAAGGAACTCTGCATGATATTAGGCAAATGACTTCCCCTCCTGGCCTCAGTTTCTTCATTTGTAAGAGGGGACGAGATAAGTGGTTTTCAGGCTGCCTCCAAGGGCCATCACCACTGCCTCCACCACCACATCTCCTCCCCAGCCTCCCCCTTCATGAACAAGGGGCTGCTGCTGGGCTTGAGCTGGGAGGAAGGGAAGTGATGGCTCCACAGGTCTCCCCTCCCGCTTCCATCACGGCTGCTCATTGGTATCAACCCTGAACATTGAGCTTCCTGGAAAAAATTCCGTTAGACAAAAGGTCCGGTGGCTAAAGAGTGTGATAACCACTGGGTTAAACAACCTTAAAGGTTTCTTCTGACTCTGGAGCCCCTTGGAAGCCATTGCTCAATCACACATTGGAAATGTTTGGGTTGCTGTGGATGGCTCCAGGGGCGACACCAGAATTAACACAAGTTTTCCTGGAGACAGGAATAATGAAGACCCTCAGATTTTACCCTTCCTTCCTCTCCCTCAGAAACCCCTCACACTTCACAAGGGGAAATTCCTTGGGCCATGTTGACTGCAGAATGTTTCCAGGTTACTGGCTTTGGGTGGAGAGGTGGGATTCTGTGTAAATGCAGTTTTCTCACACTTTTCTCATTAATGGGTCACCGTGTTATTTCCTTTAAAATTTTTTTAAATTTAAATTTTTAGTAGAGACGGGGTCTTGCTATATTGCTCAGGCTGGTCTTAAACTCCTTGGCTCAAGTGATCCTCCCACCTTGGCCTCCCAAAGTGCTGGGATTACGGGTGTGAGCCACTGCGCCCAGCCTATTATTTCCTTTCAGAAGCTTGAGTGTCGCCCACCCTGTCCTCTCCAGCATAAGGGTCCTGGTTGGGGGTGGAGTTAGGAGTCAGGTCCTAAAACGAGGGCTGAGAAGGGGCAATGTCCAAGTCAGTTGTGCTCCCACCTACCTTAGGCAGATGCTCAGTACCTTTTCAGCCCCAGGAGAGGGGGCAGGGGGCTCAGATTATGAAGTTCCCCTCCACCCCCAGAGCAGCTCAGTTTCCCAAGTGCATTCAGACTTGGCCAAATGAAATTGCCTTTTGCAGGAGGTGGCAAGACTAGTCCATCAACTGCTTCTCACCAGGACTGATATGAAAATCCCTTATCTGAGCAATAAAACACTGGCAAGCTCCCATTCAGCCAAATATTTTTTCCAATAAGAGAAAGTGAAGTGCCCAAGAAAGGATGAGGAGGGATTGGGGGGAAGCCCTGGCAGGGCAGTAGGAGCATGGATTGAAAGGGGCTGATGGGGGGTGTGACCCAAACCCCCAGCCAGGCCCAGGGGAGAAGTGAGTGGAACTGACGTGGAGCTGGAGAGGAGACTCCAGGCAGACACAGTTCAGAGAAAGGTGCCAGGAGAGGGAAGTGGAGTCGGATCCATCCATCCCCTGTCCATCCTAAGGTGGCAGGACCCCATGGCACAGCAGGCCTTTGTCTGAGGTCCCAAGGTCCGGGGGGATCTAGTGGCCTAGCATCCTGGGGATCTGGGTGCAGCTTAGAGTGAGATCCATGGAGCCCAGGGAAAGACGCCATTGGCAAGGCAGGAAGGCTCCCTGTGCAGAGGGAAGCTGGGCCCGCCAAACTCCTTGTTCTTTCTCTTGGCCTGACCTATGAAAGGAATGGGGTGTGACTAGACCTTGGGAGAGTTACTTTAGCCCCCTGTGCCTCCATTTCCTCCCTTGTCAGATGGAGACTCTGCCTCCATCACAAAGAGCCAACCCTTGACTTTGCCTCCATCACAAAGATGTTCTAATCCAATCTGATGACAGATGTGAAGGTTTTTCTTTTGAAATAGTAGAACTGCTTCGCAGGCATTACTCGTGGCCAGAAGGCTGGGGTCTAGCGGCCTGCTCTTTGCTACTTTTGGGCTCTCTTCTTCCTGCTCTTATGGATTTGCATCTGGGAAGGCCAGGGCCTCTGTCTCTCCCTCATTTGACCTTCCCTTTACCTTCCTACCTCCCTTCTCGGGGACATTCTCCTCCCACTCCTTTTTTCCCTCAACCTTTATCCTGGCCACCCTCTGGCAATGAACTCCCAATAAGGCAAATGTTCCTGCATGGACCCTGTGTTCCAGCCTCTCAGGCCCAGCTCTTCCCCCACACACACTGCAGTGGGATCACGATCCCCCTGCTTGGAAACCTGCTGCTGTGTGCTCAGGTGTGCATCCCACATCATGCCTGAGTTACTCATCGAGGACTTGCGTGGGCCCACTCACCTCCCACTGACCCAACCATCCCACACACCAGTCTTGTAGGACATGGCCTTTCTGTAGATAGCTTTACCTCCTCCTGCTTCCAAACCATCACCTCACCCACCACCCTCAATGTCCTACCCTTTATCTCTGCTAAATCAAGTAACTAGCCTTTGAATAATTGTCTATCTCCTCCCCTCCAGGAACCCTTCCCCAAATAACCTCACTGTATCTTGTCTTCCCTTCGCTTGGACACCTTCTGGTCTATGACAGGATTGGTATCTCTGCAGTGTGAAGTGTGTGTCTGTGCGTCCTGTCAAGGCCCTTGGGGGTCATCCTTCCCAAAGGGGCCATACACACTGGCTCCCCATGGTGAGGTTATATGGGCTGCAGACCGACTGCAGCCTCATTGTGTAGGAAGAGGACCAGGTCAGGTTTGGTGTCTAGAAGATGGCAGGACAGCACCCAGTGCAGTGGCTGCAGTAAGCTTTATGACAGTGACACATTGCAGAGCCTTTTCATGTCCTTTGTAGGGACATGGATGAAGCTGGAAACCATCATTCTGAGCATCGCAAGGACAGAAAACCAAACACTGCATGTTCTCACTCATAGGTGGGAATTGAACAATGAGAACACTTGGACACAGGGTGGGGAACATCACACACCGGGGTCTGTCGTGGGGCGGGGGGAGGGGGGAGGGATAGCTTTAGGAGAAATACCTAATGTAAATGACAAGTTAATGGGTGCAGCACACCAACATGGCACATGTATACATATGTAACAAACCTGAAAGTTGTGCACATGTACCCTAGAACTTAAAGTATAATAAAAAAAAAAGAAGAAGAAGAAAATGTGGCCACATGGCTTTCTCCTCTAACCCTAGACTGCAGCAGGCATCGCCTGAAGTTGTAGATGAGGTGCAGAGGTCATCACCTGTCGCCTGAAGGGTGGTTTTGATTGTTTGTGTTCCCTGCTCATTGCTAAGGGATAAAGGCTCAGGGGCTACTTATGCTCACAGACTGAGCTCAGCACACAGTTCTGACCTATTTTGTGGCTTTAAATTCAGAGATGCCAAGAACACTGTGTTTTTGCTGCTAAGTCTGGCAACTTAACCCACAGTAACCTTTAGGTGCTTTCCAACCCTGGAATTTCTTTGCTTATTGTTCTGGGTGGAAAATGAAAACCCTCTCTGCCAGCAATTAATTTACAGAAATAAACAGGATTTCTGCTTTTCGTGACAAAGACAGTCCCGGAATGCCAATCTTAGGGCTGCCAGATTGCAATTTCAAGTGGGTGCAGCCAACATGGTTACAACCTGCAGGTGATTTATCGAGAAGGTTATGAGAAAAGGAGAAAATGCAGTCACGAAAGGAGAAAATGCAGTCAGGAGGAAGTGGAGAAAGGCATTGTCTAGGAGTTCTTGTACTCACCTCTAATTTCTCTGGCAACAAGTCTCTGTGCCCTTGGCCTTCTACCTTCCCTTTTTAAAAAAAAAAAAAATTGCTGATGATTCTTGTTTTTTCACTCTGTTCTATTTGACTTATTTCCAGCCCTTTCCTGACATGGGTGCAGCCTGGCCCCTGCTTCCAAGCCACATCCCTGCCTGATGGCATCTCAAAAGCATTTGTCACCCAGAACCCTTGGCTTGCTACATTTTGCCTGTGGGTCTGGTCCCTTCATCTAAGAGCTGCTCCTGGGGTGGTTGACTGGATACACTCTAGAAACAACATCCAGACTGCAGAAGCAACCTCACTCCTTCTCCTTCCCTGGATACTGAATGAATAGGGACACAATGCATTGGAAATGAAGGCGGTAGGCATAGAGCTGAGCCACAGACTTGCTGAGAAGCTGGAAGGATTTGCTCAGGAAGGAAGAGTGGCACGGGTTTGGGGATGGAGGCTCCGAGTGGCACCAGCCAGGGACCATTAGAGATTATGTTGGGGGAGTTAAAAGCAGTGATTAAGTCTGAGAACACTGTCTCCTCCATCTCAGCCCCTGCTGAAAATCAATCCTTGTAATCACTCTCCTATCACCACTGCTGCTCTTCAAGGCTCAGCGCAATAGTTTGTTAGGTAGATTAGGAGAGAAGAGAAAGGACCCACTGGTCTTCCTCAGACGTCAGCTTTTCCAACATCCTGCTTCTACTGCCTGCCTCTGAGAACTTCACTGTTTAGGGCTTTGCAGTTTGGATGCTTATCTTTCCCAAGACTTTATCTGCGCTGATCTCAGGGGTTCCCTGGGCCGGACAGTGAGCAAGTATTTGTTGTGCATGGTTTCAAGGTGCCTAGTGTTAAAAACGGACACAGCCCCATCTTCAAGGAGCTCACAGTTGCTCCTGGAGTCAAGATAAACACAGATAACAATGGAAACCTGCAGAGAAACTAGAGAATAATTTCCTTTAGGCAATCGCTGGAAGCTAAATGTTCTTCGTACTTTCTGCTTTCATCTTACTCTTGGTAACCTCCCCATCACCTCCCTCACGATTCCATCCTGGAGTAGTTTAGACACAACACCCTGCAGAGCTTGATCCTCTCGATCCTCTGCAGAGAGACACGGAAGTAGTTCCAACTCTCTCTGGAGGAGTGGCCGGCAGAGGAATCTTGATAATAAAGTCTAATTAACAGGCCAGGCATGGTGGCTTATACCTGTAATACAACACTTTGTGAGGCTGAAGCGGGTGGATCACTTGAGCCCAGGAGTTCGAGACCAGCCTGAGCAACATGGCAAAACTCCGTCTCTACAAAAAAATACAAAAATTAGCCAGGTGTGGTGGCACACACCTGAAATCTCAGCTACTTGGGGGACTGAGGCTGGAGGATTGCTTGAGCTTGGGAGGTTGAGGCTGCAGTGAGCTGTGTTCACACCACTGCACTGCAGCCTGGGTGACAACGTGAGACCCTATCTCACACACACACACACACACATACACACACACACACAAATCCTCACAATTTACAGACCGAACTAAGAGTGAGTTGTTTGCTATGGATTCAATTCAACATTTAATGTGCAACTATAGTGCACCCAGGGCATTGTGCACTATAGGAATGGTGGGTGGTACAAAAATGAGCAAGAGTTCTGTCTCTAAAGAGTGTGTCCTCCATGTGTTTCTAATATTATTTGATTTTCAAAACTTCAATTCATACAGGATCCTTTGGAGGTACCCATGGTTCTCTGACTCTCTTCCTGAACTACCACTGAAGTCATAGCGTTAACATATTTAAAATCTCAGATGAATTTTTGTAATCATACGAAATTTATTATCGACTCTATATTGGTATTGGTTTCGATATAAAATGATCCTCTTCTTCCCCAACCTCATACTCCTCAAGTTCTACTTATAACACTGGAGCAGCAGGAAAACGGACTAATTGTATCCCATCTTTTGTATCCCTGGCATACTATCTTACACCCAAGGAACACAAGTACCCCTGAGAATCAGAGTTATAGATACTCAATACCTATTTATTGATTTCAAAACCCAGAGAGGTGTAAGACACCAGGGCCTTGGAATTCTCCCTCTCTCCCTCTACATTTTTCCTTTCTTCACCCTCTAGTCCTTCATGCCTTCTGGTCTGGGACACCCCTCCCCTGGCTTTTACCTTCTTTCTGCACATTTCTTACAGGGGCTCCCTGTTTGGTTCTGGTCCTTATTTTTGCATTTGGCATTGTTTTAGTTTTGAACACAGAACCATTTAGGCCCAAGGCAAATGGTGGCCCAAAAAAGATAGTTAATCATTCCATTAATTAATTATCTCAAAAACCACATATAGATCTGCTCCTTGGACTAATAGCTGTGCTGGACAGTGGGAATACAGTGATGAGCAAAATGGAAATGTTGTCTCTCCCAAAGATGCCTTCAAGGGACTGGGAAAGCCAGACATTGATCAAATAATTATACCAGTATATAGTGTTGAATTGTGTCATGAAGGGAGAGAGCAGAGTGCTATGAAAATGTATAGCAAGGTGTTTGATCTGATCTGGGGGAGGTGGTCAGGGAGGGCTTCCTGGAGGAAGGGACATTGCAGGAGAAATGAGGATGAGTAGGAGTTAACTAAATGAAAAGGGGTTGTGGGGCAGCATTTCAGGCAGCAGAGCAGCATGTGTAAGAGTCCTGTGGCTGGAGGAAGGAAGTACAGCCAATTTGAGGAATTGAAAGGAGACTGATGTGGCTAGAGCAAAGACAGAGAAAGAAGTGGTGTAATGTGGGCTGGAGAGTCAGAGGAGGGGGGCGGAATTCTAAAATCCAAATAGATCATGACAGCTGGGTATACACTAGGGTCGGGACATCACCAAGTATGCTTACTCAGGTCCAGAGTAAATTAAGTAGGAGGAACTTTAAATAAAACCAAATTAACCAAGACCAGTAATGCAGGAGGAGGTAAATTCACCGTAAGAAATACTCCAGGCTGGGCGCGGTGGCTCATGCTTGTAATCTCAGCACTTTGGGAGCCCGAGGCGGGTGGATGGATCACTTGATGTCAGGAGTTTAAGACTAGCCTGGCCAATATAGTGATACCCCGTCTCTACTGAAAGGCAAAAATTAGCAGGGTGTGGTGGCAGGCGCCTGTAATCCTAGCTACTCACGAGGCTGAGGCAGGAGAATCACTTGAACTCGGAAGGCGGAGGTTGCAGTGAGATGAGATCATGCCACTGCACTCTAGCCTGGGCGACAGAGTGAGACTCCATCTCAAAAATAAATAAATAAATATATAAATACTCCAAAAAATCTCAGAAGATATGTTGGCTGAATGAATGATGGATAAATAAAGACCTAGTACATGATTAAGTGTCTCCATTTCCAGCCACTTTCTAAGCAGAGGCCTGACCTGGCTCTGCCTCTTCCAGAGCAAATCACCTCAGTACTCTTCCTTTTTGCTGCCATGGCATTCTGTACATGTGACTATCATGGCTTTGTCCCACTGGATTGCAGTGATGGTTTGCTGCTAGCTTCTCTCATTAGACTCTAAGCTCCTTGAAGGCAAGGACCATGCCCTACTCATTTTTTCATTCCCAGTGCCCAGCACAGTGCCTGGCACATAATAGGTGCTCAGTAAGTATTGGTTGAAGGAATGCATACTGTCCTGTCCATATAAATTCCACCAGACTTCATGATGATCAGGATGACACAAGTGTACAGCTGCCTAGGCCTCCTATACCCTCGGAACTAGAAGCCAACATTTCAGGAGAGCCAGCTGCATTACAGTCCTGTTTTGCAGTCAAAGAAAGGCATTCACTGAGTCAGTCTCAACCTTGTTCTTCTGGTGACCAAATCTGGGACCTTGTTTTCCTTGTGAGGTTTTCTGTGAGGGTGCCCAGACAGCTCATCAAGCCAATGGGATCTAAGTAGGAAAATCCAACGGATTAACTGCTAGTCCTCTGCACTAGCCTATGATATTAATATTCCCAGTATGAATAGGCTTTGTATTTCCAAGCTACACATGCACATCCATTGTTTCCTTTTGTCTACACAACACCTCTATGAGGTATTTAGCTGAAAGAGGTTAAATGGTTGATCCATGGTCCCATGGCAAGTCAGTCAGGCCTGGAGGCTTTTTCTCCTACATTCCCCTGCCTTACTCCCTACCCCAGAAATTTCTCTGTTACCCACCTTGACAGGAGATGGTTCTCAGTGGCCACTGTCTGGGAGATGCTCTGTGTAGCTCTTTGGGCCTTGTTCCTGCCAAGCCAAGCCTTGGCAAACTCTGGTGGGAAGCTGAGGGGGTTGGCCAGGAACTTCAGAGATTCAGTGTATGGGGAGAGAGAGTTGCATAAGCCGGGTCTGCTTTCTCTCTTTCTCCCAGAGGCAACCTGATGCAACTTGCAGCTACAGAGCCATCTTCATGGCTTCTTGCTTCAGCCAGAGCAATCAGGAGGGAGAGGCAGGCTGAACTGAAGACAGACAGCAGCCAGGAGGGGAGGAGGAGCCATTTCTGCCTGAGCCCAGGGCCAGGGAGCCTTCAGGCTGGAGACAAGCTGGTGTCAATGAATCTTACAGACAGATGACAGCTGGCTTCTAGAAGATGTGAGCCCTGGCCCTGCTCTGGAGCTGCCCACTCAGGATGAGGCAATGCCGTGCCCTTCTTCAGGAGAATGAAACCTAGCCCACTGTTACTCTTTTCTTCCCTTTGGAGACAAGGCTGCTATAGGGTTAAATGGTCTGATCCAAGACCTACAGAAAAAAGACATTTTTCCCTATTAAAAAAATTCATTAAACAATTGCTGAGGTCTAGGCATTTATTGAAAGATGAAAGGGTAGTCTCTATTCTCAAGATGTTTACAGTCTAGTAGGAAGGTAAGCAGACACATAAAAATCATACATGAAAAAGAATGTGGTTAAGTGTCTTAAAAAGAGAGGGTTAGAATCTGGCTTAATGAAGGCAAACCAGAGTGTGGCATCAGAGAGGCCATCAGTCTTGAAAGGCACCTGGAATTAAATTTGGAAGACAAATGCATGGCAAATGCCTATGATTCTAGGCCACTGAGCAGTTTCCATGGCTGCAACCTTCCTTTTTTATCTAGGATGATAATAATAATACTAACGACCTTTCTCAGCTACTTATTATGCGTCAGGTACTGCACTGAGCACTTTGCATCCCCCATCTCATGTCATCATTAGAACCACCTGAGGTGGGTATATTCTTATCATCCTGTTTTACAGCTGAGGAAATTAAGGCCCTAAGAGGTTAAGGAACTCATCAAAAGTCAAGCAGCTGGAAAAAGTTGGAGGTGAGATATAAACCCAGCTTGTATTTAACATTTTAAATGTTACAGAAATCTGTAAACAACTACTGCTTCCAAAAGTGAAAACCTCCCCACAGATTCTGGGGAAGTGCTCAACTGTCCTGTGGAGCAGTCCAAGTTCTAGTGGCATCTCTCTCTCTCTCTTTCTCTGGTGCCAGGCTCTTAGACTCTGAAGCTCCTGGGAGGGTCTGAGACTAACAATTCCAGGCAGGAAAAAGGCAAGATTAGGAGAAAAAAAAATCAGCATCACAAATCTCAGAATTCTGCAGAACCAAGTGAAAGTCTCCTGGGCCCAACATATCTGAAATGGTCTCTAAAGCAAATGTCTTGGCCTTAGTCTCCATCCTAAGCCTCTCTGGAGTTCAGAGATTTTCCCCGCCCTCACAATATGAGTAACTAGAAAACGATTCATCTGTGTCCATTTGCCAGTGGTTCTTCAACTTCCTTTCAGCGTCTCAATGCATCATAAGCTGTTAGTCCTGACAGAGGCTTTAGTGATTAGTCCAATCCCTTCAATTTGTACATTACACATTAACAGTGGTTAATGGAAGAGCTTCTGGGATGTTTTCTCTTTGTTTTAGTAAAAAAATCATCTTACCACTAAACACTAATGTGAGAGTTACTTTGATTGCAAAACAGAAAAGAATCTTACAAGCATTGTGTGTGTACACTGAGAATCTCCATCAAACCTCATCTTTCCTATGTTGATCCATTTGCAGTATCCCCCTTTGTGGCAGAGGCATATGGATGGTTGAGGGTGTAGTGGGCAGAGCAATGCATTTCTCCAGCGCTGAGAACAGTCTGCTGCTGCTGGCCTGCTCTCTGCTTTTTGATCTGGCACACCCAGCAGCTCTGCCATGTTCAAGGCCAGCAGCCATCCATTTGTCTGCCAGGCTCCTTCTTGGCCTTACCCACTGGCAGTCAGAGCTAAGCTGATCTTTCTGCCTGCTGGCTGCTTATCTGGGACATATGATTTGTGGAGGACGGCCTGCTAGAAGGGAGCCGTCCTTCTCCAAGCCCCTGCAGGTGAGGGGAGCCACACTGACATGCCACGTCTGCTCCAGAATCTCAGGCTCTTAGTCTCCATTTGCAACTGCAAACACCTGTGCTCTGTGGCTAGCATTGGGCAGTGAGCAGAGAACAGGCATGGGAACATCTGCAGAAAGTAGAAGAGGTCACTGTTCTTCTGCCCCAGTCGAGAGGAGCTGGCCGGATCCACTCACCCACATTGCCCACCCTCTTCCAGGACCCTTGAGCCACCTATGCAGGCCATCTCCTGGTCTCCACCCTCCCCTCCACCCCTTTTTAGGAACCAAACCCCTGGTTTGGAGAGCCTGGTAGGTTCCCATAGCAATGGGCCTTTTAGCTGTTTCCATGGCAACCAACACCCAGACCATTTAGTTGCTAGTCAACTGACAGCTGTAAGTGAATCGGATTCAGTTTAGAATCTAGGGATAGGCTGAGGAATTCTCTTCAGAGAAAAAGACACAACCACCCAAAATGACTCAAATCCTTCAAAGACTTTCAGGCAACATCTGTGGAGATCCAGAGCCACTTTCTACTTTGGGTCACTCAACCCTGTCTCCCCCCAGCCCCATTCCCAACACACACACACACACACACACACACACACACACACACACACACACACACAACCCTGTCTCCCCCCAGCCCCATTCCCAACACACACACACACACACACACACACACACCCTCGCCTGAGTGTTCCAGGCCTTTAAATAAGGCATACCCCAACCTCTATTTCCTGTTCTGTCTCTTCCTTGGGAAAAACACTTGTTTAACGTGACTTTCACCTTGGCGACTTTCTTACACGACTCCTTTTTCTGTGCTAATGCTTTTCTTATATACTGTAACCCTGTCCTTGTACCAACCCATTTAACCATTGCTTTTTGGATTATCTGAAGTGAATGGCTGATCCCAGATCATTTTCTCTTAGTTGACCTCACCTATTTCAAGCCACTCTTCCTATGTCTGGAGGGTGTTCTCAGAGAACAAGCTGTTTTTATCAACCTTTCCAAAGCATAATCAAGATCACCCTGTTTCTTTTCTGAAAGACTTTGTGTTAAAAAAAAAAAAGATCACTCTGTTCCTTTTAAAAAAAGTCAACTAAGATTTAAAAACCAAATATGCAGGATTTAAAATTACTCCATGCTTGTTGCTTTTTATTAGTATGAAGATTTGACTGAATACTAGTCTTCATATTTAACCTTTTCCCAAACTGGAGATATGAGGTGTTGGGTTCCCTTTATTCTATAAGCAGGGGTGCCCCTCATTATTATTTCAACAATTAGAATCTGGGATTTATCTGTCCTGGAATTCATGTAAGAGCTGAGCCTCCAAAACCTGCTCCGTGGACTAGAAAAGCATGAGACGGTCATTGGAAAGAGGATGACCTTTTTGATATACCTAAGATTCAGTGCTTCTCAATGTTTTAATGACTCACGGGGGCGTCTGTGAACTGTCTGTAGAAGACGACCTTTCAAACTAATCCCCCCACGGGAGCCCTACCTAGCTCACGGCTGCAGGCTTCATGTAGCCCCGCGATGGCTGGCAAACAGTCACAAGCTGTTGTGTTCCCCTTTTGCTCTGATGGAAGGGTATAAACTAGCCGAAATACTTTTTAATTTCGATTTCTGAAATATCTACTTATACTCTTTGTCTTTAGTGCTTCCCCACCCTTTTCATTATCACTCCTTACAGGAGCTTTTATGGACCTTTTAATCCTAATCGACCACCCCACCAAATTTTAATACCGCAGATATAATATGTATCTGTTTATGTATTATCTGTCTGTTCCTGCTTTACACATAAAAAGATTAAGAATTTTTTTGTCCCTAAGAACAAATTTTCACAAAGAATGCAAGTTATAAACAATGAAAGATATACAGTATTAAAACATTGTTTCAAATTTGAAGAATAAGTGGAGGAAAGAAAAATATATTTTAGAACTTAGATATGTAAATTATTTCCAAAATAGTTTAACACTCAAACTAGTCAGCTGTATCAAAATCAATTCTCCCTGAAGTAGGCACTGTTCCTAGCTAGAGGCAAGTACTCATTTTGCATGGTATTGTGAGTCCTGTCTTCTTTTAACACAAGGGCAGAGGAGTATGCAGGGTGGGTAGCTGTTAACTTCAAAGGAGCTAAATGGCATGAGAAATCTTCTGGGAATAGGGAGACAGTGGACACATGAGAATTGAGCTTTTCCAGGCCTTTCAGAAAGTTCTTGTGCACAGAGGATAGCCTCATCCTTCTGAGGAGACATCATCAAATCTCAGATTGAACCTTCTAATTTTCCTGCTATTTGTAGACAAAGAAGAATGTCTGTCTCCCAGAGTGACAGCTAACATTTAGAGAGTATATACTATAGCCAGGGTCATTCTAAGTGTTTTACATGCCTCATCTCATTTAGTCTTCACAGCCCTATTATTATTAGTCCTATTTAACAGATAAGGAGACTGACACACAGAGAGATGAAGTGATTTCAAGATCACACTGGTAGTCCTGTTAATTGTTGGTGCCAGGATTCAACCATAGGCAGTCCGAAGCCAGAGACCCGCACAACAGTTAACAGCCTCAGGAATTCACACAATTCTGATACATCTAGAGTCTGGTATGGGAGACAAGGTGGACTGTCACTCTAGACTCAATGTGGCAGGATACACAAAAGATCTTAGGTAAAAAGTACACTGGTTGACTGGCTCCTAGCATTAACTAGGAAAGCTTGGCTGTTGATAACTGTATTCCTGATCCATCACTGTCCCCTGGTGGTTTTCCTGGGAAACTCACAGACCAAAGAAATCCAAGGGTCTAGTGAAATTAGTGGGATGAAAAGAACTGGATCAAATCAATCACTTGCTCACAAGCACTTTGTATGAATGTTCCTTCCTTTTGCCCTAACAATGGATGACCTAAGGTCCATGTTATTCAACTCAATTGTGAATGGGGTTGTAATCCCTGTACCACCTAAGAGCTGACTGCTAGTATACTGACTCAAAATAGGTGGCAAAATATATGCCCATGATTATACTTGTACTTTAAGATAGGAAACTCCAAGATTTAATTAATTTAGCCATTACTTGCTACAACTTCACATTTCATTTTTAAGCTTCTAGGCTTTCTTCACAGCAGTGTTCCCAAAAGATCACCATGCCTCATCCTAACCTGTAATCCCTAACCCCTACCTGCCCTCCCCACCAAATTCAGTTCCTTCAACCTTTCAGGCGTTATTATTCAACTAGGTGATTTTTACTTTCACTGCTTCTTTCGAGCATGCTTGGTGGTATAAGATTGTGTCAAATAAAGCAAAACAAGGCCATTTTATATAAAATAGATATGGTCTTACTGGACAAAAAGGAGGAAAAAGAGTTTCTGAAAAAGTCATGTCTTCAGTGCACTCTGGGACCACGGAACTGGGGGCCTGCCTTCCATGGTTCTAGCAGAATGTACCCTGAAAGGAGCAGGAGAAGACCACAGCCCACATGCAGAAGACAAGACAAACGAGTTTTTATTTATTCAAGAGTAAATTTCCAGGTGTAGAAAGAGGCCACAAGTTAATGTTGTTAAAAAAAAAATTAAACATCTGCTAACCAAGTGCTGCATTTAATGAAACCACCTAAGACAGAAAAAGAGACATGAGACAACCACTGAGAACCAGCCACCCGGAGCTCAGTTTCTGCTACAGAGCACCTCCTCTTCAACGAATCACTGGATACCATTGGAGAGCAAGTCACTGTTGTTGAAGCAGCAGAGCTGGAGGTGCTGTCAAGAGTCTCAGCAGACTCATTGGCCAGATGCACCGAACTCAATGAGGCACTTAGAGATGAGAAACCTGTGGATGTAATGTCCCAGCTCAGTGGAAGTGGTTTGGAACCTTTCCTCCACTGTCAGGGCAATAACCCTAGGGCAAGTTATCAGACATTCCTAAGCAACCTCCTTCAGGTCCTGTCTGGCTGGACCTTCCTTACTCCGACAGAAAAAAACCAATGAAGACAGTTAAATCAATCTCTACAGTCTCACTCTCTCTTCTTTCCTTCAACCTTTTTTTTTTTTAACAAAGGATATTACAAAGGCAACAGTTCTGAGCTCTCAGGAAATAGGGTCTCAGATGCTTTTAGAGGTTGAGAGGCATAAAACAGCAGTCTTGAAATTCCTTTTATCTTATGGCACTGATTTAGTTTCAGTCTGATTTCTCCTCCACTTTCTTCCCTCCACCCATGCCCTCTCACCCCCAGATAGACTTACGATCTGTACTGGGATTTCCCAGCAGAAGAGACTTTGGTTTTTGTCATCCTGAAGTTGCCACTCCACCACCAGTTTTATCTGGAGAAAGAGAAAAATAATTGAGAAAAATGAAAATAGGACCTGACTTCTATCCATAATTGGTTTAACTATGAATCCTAGATGTACAGTAGCAAACTTCCTAACTCCTCATACTTTTTTTCTTAAATCATGAGGGCTGCTTAGCATGTGGGCACAGCTTACAGCCTTAAGAGAGTGAACAAAGTTATACTTGTGATTTGATGCTAGCAGCACCACATACTAACTTGGTTAATTTATCAAATGTAATTTCTAAAGCATTCTCTTCTCTCTTAGATCAATGGCATATAAATGAAGTGATACGGTTTGGTTATTTGTCCCTTTGAAATTTCATGTTGACATGTGACCTCCAATGTTGGAGGTGGGCCTGGTGGGAAGTATTGGATCATGGAGGAAGATCCCTCATGAACGGCTTAGCACCGTCCCCTTGGTGATGAGTGAGTTCTCACTGACTTCACATGAGATCTGGCTGTTTAAAAGAGTCTGGGGCCTCCCCCTTCTCTTTCTTGCTTTAGTGCTGGCCATGTGACACGCTGGCTCCCCTTTGCCTTCTGTCCTAACAGTAAGCTTCCTGAAGCCTCACCAGAAGCAGGTGGTGGCACTATGCTTCAGGTACAGCTTGCTGAACCGTGAGCTGATCAAACCTCTTTTCAAGTTACCCAGTCTTAGGTATTCCTTTACAACAAGGCAAATGGACTAACACATGAAGGCTTACATGAATAATTTCACATTTAAGCAATTTCTCATGTATTTGGCAATCTGATCCAGCTTTTTCCCAATGTAACCATGAAGAGCAGAGAGTAAAAAAAATTTAGATTCTTAGGTATAAGGAAACGTTCTTGTTAGCTAGAAATGGAAATGTCAAAGCACAAAAGATGGCCTAGAGAAGTCTGTAGCTGTATGAATAATTTCAAGGATGACAACCTTTTGTAGCAATATACTTTCAGTTAACGCCCTTAAACTGCTTTCTAATAATGTACTTCATCAGAAATCCCTGCCTTGACTTGTTACACTCATATCACGTGAGTGGTCCCTTCCAATTCTTGATAACTCACTGACACTCTGCAGGTCCTTTCTTATGTGGACATTAGCTTACTTGTCACTAGTTACTACCTCTCTTTTGTACTCTAATGTTTCTTCACAATGGAACATGTGAGTGGCACTGATATTCAGGTTCTTGAAACTTGCCTTGTGAGTTTTTCCAGACTAGTATACATTAACTACTGCTTCATTTAGTGCTTAAGCAGTTTGAGCTATTTTTCAAATTAAATGTAACTCATTTAACAGACAATAACTACCATACATTAAGTACCTACTACGTATCAGGCTCTGACTAGTCACTGCATACGTAACTGAGGTTCAGACATGCCCATGGTTATGTGGATATTCATCTACTAATCTGTCCCTGACCTCTAAGGTCTCCAACAGCCCTTAAGCACAGACATCCTATATTTGAGTCTCTTTAGAATGTTCTTTAATTACTTACCTTTCCTAGAAAATAAATGGCCAGATATTGCTCCTGAGTTCTACTTGATTTCAAGAAATGCGGCTCTTTTTCTTCATGGAAAAAGGCCATCCCTCTATTTCCTCCATTCTTATCAAGATACATATCTTTAATACAGGTCCACTGCAGCAGGATCTACCTTATGAGTGCTTGGTAGAAAAAGAGGTAGGTGCAGCAGGGATGGGTCAGAGGTGAAGGTGGGGATTGGAGGGCAGAAAGAAGGCTGGAAAAAGCTACCTCTCTGCCATGGAGCTAACAAACTACTGCTCTCTTGTTTTGTTAAGAGATTAATGGAGAAACCAGGATTTTCTGATGACAATGTTAAGACAACTTGGATCTTTAATTATTTGGTACCTGGCTAAAATCTTTTAACATTGCACAGGCTTTGGAGTTATAAGACCCAGCTCAAAACCTGGGCTCCACTGCTTCTTAGTGGAGTGGACTCTGTTCATATTGCATAACTTCAGAGGCTCAAATTTCTTCAGCTGTAAAATAGAGATAATATCACCTCTACATAGGATGGTCATGAGATCCAAGTGAAATATTGTATATAAAAATGGCATCAGCCGTTGCTGTGCAGAGCCGAAGCAGGAGCCGCAGCTGGGAGGAGGGAGGAGGGAGGAGGGAGGAGGGAGGAGGAGGTGGAGGAGGTGCCAGACTGGGGGAATCATCAGTATTTAAACAGACCACATCACGGGTGAGCTAGTGGTCCTTGGTTCAGGAGGTGTTGGGCAGTCTGCTCTGATGGTTCAGTTTGTTCAGGGAATTTTTGTTGAAAAATATGACCCAACGATAGAAGATTCCTACAGAAAGCAAGTTGAAGTCAACTGCCAACAGTGTATGCTTAAAATCCTAGATACTGCAGGCACAGGGCAATTTACAGCAATGAGGGATTTGTATATGAAGAATGGCCAAGGTTTTGCACTAGTATATTCAGTCCACGTTTGACTTACAGGACCTGAGGGAACAGATTTTACTGGTTAAGGACACAGAAGATGTTCCAATGATTTTGGTTGGCAATAAATGTGACCTGGAAGATGAGTGAGTAGTTGGCAAAGAACAGGGCCAGAATTTAGCATGACAGTGATGGAACTGTGCCATTTTAGAATAATCTGCAAAGTCAAAGGTCAATGTTAATGAAATATTTTATGACCTGGTCAGACAGATAAATAGAAAAACACCAGTGGAAAAGAAACAGCCTAAAAAGAAATCATGTCTGCTGCTCTAGGCCCATAGTCAGCAGCAGCTCTGAGCTAGGTTACAGGAATGAAGAACTATTGCCTAATTGGAAAGTGCCAGCATTCCAGACTTCAAAAAATAAATTTGAAGAGGCTTCTCCTGTTTTATACATTATGTGAAGAATTTAGATCTTATATTGGTTTGTATAAGTTCCCTGGAGAAAAAAAACTGCTCTGTGTATATCTCTTGGAAAATAAGACATAACAGATGTGAAAATATACTTGACTCTAATATGATTATACAAAAGAGCATGGATGCATTTCAAATGTTAGATATTGCTACTATAATCAAATGATTTCATATTGACCTTTTTATCATGATTCCTCCCTATCAAGCACTAAAAAGTTGAACCATCATACTTTATATCTGTAATGATATTGATATTGCAGTAGATAACTTTTTTGAATCAATTACCTCATTTTATATTTTAAAAATTATGGAATATCCTCTGTCATTATATTCTAATTGAAATTGTGCATAATGCTTTGGAAAAATGGGTCTTTTATAGGAAAAAAACTGGGGTAACTGATTTCTACGACTTTCAAAGCTAAAATATACAATATACTAAACCAACTCTAATATTGCTTCTTGTGTTTTACTGTCAGATTAAATTACAGTTCTTATGTATGATTAAATTTTAGTATATTAAAAAACAAATGGCATCATTAGGCCCAGGCTAACCATCAGGTCATAGTGAAAGAATGAAGAGACACAGAGAAAAAGACCTGCCCTACCTCCTGATGCCTAACACCGCACCTATCTCCTTTCCCTCGGGCTTCTTCTTCATCATAGAGATAAGGGGCCCTTTACCCCCATCTCTGCTTCTTGCCCACTGCCCTCAGAACTCTAATCCAGTCCCAAGGCCTCCCGTGTCCTCAATAATGGTATCACTTACAGAGGGATATTCGCTTTTCACTGGTAGTTTATTCAGGTAGCTATAGGTCTTGTCTTTTTGGATAGGGCAGTTAATTCCACTCTTACAACCATCAGGCTCAGGAATGGGAAAGGGAACTGGGACGCCCATCAGGATGCCATGCACCACGGCCTTGCTGCTTTTAGACTGAATATCTAAGAGAAAAAAAGAGAATCAGATGGCAAAGAAAATAACCTATTTTCAAACTCTAAATCAAAAATTCAGAAATAATCCCAAGCAACAGCATTCCTAGGGTCTATTTCTCTTGATAGTGGTGCTTGGTACTAGCACAGTGCAAGCATTCACTCCAAACACAATTATGCAAAAAAAAAAAAAAAAAAAAAAACAATCAGCAGAAGTTTTCTTTGCTCTTAACCTTGCTCTTCATGGCCCTTCACAGTTTCTTAGGAGAATCAGAGATACCTGGATAAACAACCTTATCTAACAAGGCAACTGATTTTTGGCAGTAAACTTTCTGTTTGCTATTTATATCAGCTTCTGTCCAAGTATATTGTGTGTCTTAAATGTCATGGTCTGTAACAACAGTGAAAGAGGTAACCCTTTAGCAGGGTAAGATTAGGCTGGATCACAGTAGCTCCCACCTGTAATCCCAGCACTTTGGGAGGCTGAGGCGGGTGGATCATCTGAGGTCAGGAGTTTGAGACCAGCCTGGCCAACATGGAAAAACCCTGTCTCTACTAAAACTACAAAAATTAGCCGGGCGTGGTGGCGCATGCCTGTCATCTCAGCTACTCAAGAGGCTGAGGCGGGAGAATCGCTTGAGCCCAGGAGGCGGAGGTTGCAGTGTGCTGAGATTGCGCCACTGCACTCCAGCCTGGGTGACAGAGCGAGACTCTGTCACAAAAAAAAAAAAAAAAAAAAAAAAAAAAAAGAAATTGGGTAAGATTAGAAAGACATGCAATTCTTTATAAACTTTACCCTCCACATCACAAGATGGCCAGGAGGAATAAAGGTATTAAAAAATGAGGGCAATCAGACTTATGAGTTATTAGGGTATTTTGGAGACCCAGAAAATTGGTTCTGTTTCTTTCCTTCTGTCTGGGTTGGGGATGACTTGTTCAGAAGGCTTTTTTTTTTGGTTTGGAACAATAGAGAGGCCAGGGTATAGTCCAGAGAGGAAACAGGGAGCTAGTACTTAGAGCTGTCTTTAGGCTTATGAACAAAAGATGACAGGAACTTTGAGGTTTCTTATTAGACTGTCTAGTCTAGTTTCACAGGACAGAAAATGAGGAAAAGATTCAAGGAACATGCCCTGCTTAGTAATAAAAGATTTTACATTTGTCTAGATTCTTAAAAATCTCAAAGTGATGTGGTACAAGAAAGCAAAAAGTTCCAATGATATTTCTTGAATATTGGAGAAGAAAGCTCAGATTTCTTGGCTATTTCTTGGGTCCCCAGTGGGTTCCCTAAATCTTAAGGAGGCTGTTAAGTATTAGTTGCACCTTTATTTTCAGGTGGGATGTAGACTTAATAGCTGAAAGGCATTACTGCTTAAAACAACATTTTGGAGGAGTTCCAAAGCTTAAAGAATTGGGGTCCATACTAATACTCTGCAGTCTGTAGCTAAACAGAGCTGACATTCCCATCATAGCCTACTATGCAATATGGGTCAAGACAGAAAAGCCAAGCTGTCTTCTCTAACCTGTGAACACATGGACATCTCCCTGTTTGCTTAAAGGGAGTCTGGGAGCCATGGACCCTGCATGAGAAGGGTGTCCAAGGGCACAGTGAACCCTAGCTTTGCATGAGGTGCAAAAGAAATCATAAAATTCATGACTGCCAATTCCCCTCCCCTCCATTCCCATGCTTATTCCAACACTTGATATTTAGGTTATGCTGTAACATGAATTTGAGTTAAGAGCCACTTTTACGCACTGCTGGTGAAGGTGACATTGACGCTGTAAGACTGTCCTTTGCTCAGCTGGCAGGGTTGGGTGGGGCATGGGCTCACATTCACTTCCTTTATAACTCCATCCACAGAACCTGCAAAAGAAAAATGAATTGGAATAGGAGAATAGGAGGAGAAATAAGCCAGCTAGGCTGCCCACCACCTAATGGGAAGGTGCTCTGCTCTCCCATTTAGGGTCAACTCATTCTCCTCGGACTGTTTCCCAGGATGGAATCTTTAAGAATAATGCCCAATTAGAAGTCAGAATCTTGATTCATCTTGCTGCTAAAATCATAGCCTTTAATTCAGATGATAAAGAAGCTAGTTGGTTTTTTGATCAAGAGAAAGTTAATATTTGTCAAACTAAATAATATCAAGACCATATCCATAAATGATCATATTAAAGGAATTAAACTTCAATCAGAGAAATTCCAAACATTCCTAGAGTCTTATCTCGCATTCTTAATGGTAAGGGTCACAGTTTAAACTTAAACCTTGAAGACGTTTGCTTCAACCTTCCTTTGGATGAAAATATTCCTATTTTCCCTTTCTTTTTCTAGCATATAGATTAGCATGTAAATCTGATGAAAGTTGTTCACTACAGGAACAACTACATTTTTTTTTTTTTTGAGATGGAGTCTTGCTCTGTCACCAGGTTGGAGTGCAGTGGCACAGTCTCAGCTCACTGCAACCTCCACCCCCCGGGTTCAAACCATTCCCTGCCTCAGCCTCCTGAGTAGCTGGGACTACAGGCGAGTGCCATCATGCCCGGCTAAGTTTTTGTATTTTAGTAGAGACAGGGTTTCACTATGTTGGCCAGGATGGTCTTGATCTCCTGACCTCGTGGTCTGCCTGCCTAGGCCTCCCAAAGTGCTAGGATTACAGGCGTGAGTCATTGCACCCTCCCTGTTTTGTTTTTGTGGTTTTTTTTTGTTTTTTTTTTTTGAGACAGGGTCTCACTCTGTCACCCAGGCTAGATGCAATGGCACAATCTCAGCTCACTGCAGCCTCAACCGTCCCAGGCTCAAGTGATCCTCCTACTCCATCCTCCTGAGTAGCTAGAACAATAGGCATGCACCACCACACCCGGCTAATTTTTGTGTTTTGTAGAGACAGGGTTTCACCATGTTGCCCAGGCTGGTCTCAAACTCCTAGGCTCAAGCAATTTGCCCACCTTGGCCTCCCAAAGTCCTGGGATTACAGGCATGAGCCACCGCACCTGGCCAAAAACCGCACTTTATGCGGAAACAGCTAGAAAGCAAATGTAGAGCCTGAAACTCCGCGGAGGAAGATCAGAAATGAATTACAACATCTTTCTACCTCAAGTTCTACATGAGCAAACACTGATTGAGGGAGTCTGCTATTATTGCTTGGAAAGTCTGCCAGATCCCAAAACAGACTGAACCTTTCTTGAATCTGGCTTCAAGAGTTTTTAGTTCCTGAATCATTCATTTTTAGACTCTATGGAAATTGTACCTTGACTAGCAAGAATGAAGGAAAGCAGAGGCATCTGAAGAAAACATCTCACAACAATGGTATTTATCATCCTTGTTTTAGGGGTTAGAAACCAGAAGAGCAAAGATTACTGAGATTTGTCCAAGGTCACATTGCCTGGAAGGGGCAGATCGAAGACTCAATGGGTGGGCCTGACTTGGAAGCCCTTGTTACCGGAACCTGAAAGAAGCTTTAAATACGCAGCCATGTTGATGAATGGAAGGACACCCCAAGGAAATTTGCATCTGAGAACTACTTGAGGACTCTGGATGAAGGTCTGTCTCAAACTCAACTTTTCAGGTTTCTTAATTCAGCATCGCCTCTTTGCCCCTCACCATGATTCTCTTTCTATCGTAGAGGTTCAACCCCTATATCCTCTGTGATTTTCAGTGATGAAGTATCTTCTATCCAGATTTTGTACCCTTTCTCCCAAACTGCTGGTAAATCCTTTGCCCAGTATTTTGTCTTCCTGGAATCCCTTCTTTCTTTCACCCCAACTTGACTTCCTAGAGAAATAAGCAGCACTATTAAAGGTATAGGTAAAACGATGAAAAGTGTCAGAATATCAGTCTTGGCTTTTAAAATTAGGCTGATTCAAGGGTGGGCATGGTGGCTCATGCCTATAATCCCAGCACTTTGGGAGGCCAAGGCAGGTGGATCAAGAGGTTAAGAGTTCGAGACCAGCCTGACCAACATGGTGAAACCTCGTCTCTAATAAAAATACAAAAATTAGCCAGGTATGGTGGTGCTCACCTGTAATCCCAGCTACTCAGGAGGCTGAGGCAGGAGAATCGCTTGAACTGGGGAGGCAGAGGTTGCAGTGAGCCGAGATTGCGCCACTGCACTCCAGCCTGGGTGACAGAGCAAGACTCTGTCTCAAAAAATAAAATAAAATAAAATAAGACTGATTCCAGAAGCCTACTCACTTCCGAGTAAGCAGACTATGGAATTTAAGAGGAACTACCACTTAACACTGAACAGAGGAGTGACCCTAAACAGAAAAACCACCTACCATCTCTGAACTAGGAATGACCCTTAAGAGAGGAACTACCTCCCACTTCTGAATTGGGAACTGCACCATTTTCACTGCACTTCTGCAGTTTCTTCAATGATTTAGTCCTGTTCTTTAAGGCCCACTTATGAGTCATGAAATATTTTGGCTCCAAAAACAACAGGAAGTACCTTAAATCTTGACTAAGGTTGTTAAGATCTGGATTTTTTCCAAGAATCAAGGGGATGAAGAGGAGTACAGAGGTTAAGGTCTTTATAGTTTCAGTACAAGCTTAGGGCACAAGTTAAGCTTAACTCCAAATAGCACTGACTCACACAGCCAAGATGGCAGAAGTGCCAGCTGCATTAAAGAAGAATACTGCTACCTGAGTCTGGGTTTCATTTCCTCTGAAATATTAACTTGGCCTAGGTCTATATAGCTGCTGGGAATGATACACTTGCAAATACTGCATATGTTAAAAACATAAGGATGAGACCTAAGAAGGTACTAGAAAGAGTCAGAAATAGGATTTATCCCTGGGAATCCTCAAAACAAATACATATTTTTCAAAATTAAAAAATTTAAGAAAAGAAATTGGATTCATCTGACTTGTCCAGGTTGTTTCTAAGTAGTTTCAAAAACTGATTTTAAGCACACATCTGCAATCTACAGATGTATACTCGATTTTGGGAACCTGCGTTCTTAAAATAAGTGTGTGTGTGTGTGTCTGTGTGTGTATGTATGTATTTTAATCTCAGTCTAACCAAGGACAAAAGTACTTGTATACAATAAATGCTTGACCAAAAAAGGTTTAAATAAAGCCTTTAAAAATCCCATTTCCTCCTGCCCCAGAGACTGGGCAGTTGAATGGGAGAGAATGCAGGTGAACTGCCTGATAACAGTGCCTGTAACAGGGTAAGTTAAGTTCTGCCATTCAGCCATCATTGCTGAGAGGCAGACTCTGGTGCCGGATGCCTGGGTTTGAAATCTCACTATCTCTGCTACTTACTGTATAGCCTCAAGGCAAGATACTTTACCTCTCTGGAGATAATGGTGTAGCTGAGCTAACACAAATACAGATCTTAGGTAAGTGTTTGGAACATAGTGATACATATATTTACTATTATTATCATATCTGGATTTAGTCCATGAGTTTAATCTAGAATAGCTGCTCCTGGGTAGGTTAGCAAGTTCCCTTCTGACACAAAAACTGGACCTCTCACCTCAAATATACTTTGTGGATAGAAATTATGTTTCTAGCCAATAGGATGGACTCTTTCTGTCTCAAAAGTGGAATGCATGAAGACAGAGGCAAACTGCAGGTTGAGAGTACATTATCTGCTATGCAGTCAGTCACCAGATTAGCTCAGTACTATAAAAGTATGATATGAACTCAGAAATCTAAGTAGATGTTCTTTGCTGCCTGTACCTACCCTTGGGTGGAACAGTCTCTTTAACTATCATCACACTGACCAACACTGCTCCAGCTAGGTCAGTAAATAGTACCTTGCAGTCCTTTATCCCTCAGCTTGCTTCTCCATCATTGCAAAGTTCTTAAACTGCACACACTCTTAAGCATCCAAAACAGTTTGAGAAACACTCTCTTCCACTCCAACCCATTTTTGGTGAATAGGGAAAAAAGAAATCCCGAACTTCAATCAACAATCTATTGAAAATCAGTGCTAATGTTAAGGCTTTCAATGTCCAGCTTCCACCTGCTTCTTTCAAGGCTGAGTCACATAATCTAGTAGGAAGTAAGTAAAGGGTAGTACTTATAGCTCTTTCATCCAGTTTTCTGATGACAAGAGGTTCTTAGACTTCCAGTGTCAATAGAACAAACTCCTCTGTTCTAACCAGCAAACATTACAAAATTAGTTTGCTTGGTCCACTTTCTCACTTGAGGAAATCCCACGCCAGGGAAGGTGGGTGTAGAGTGGAACACAAAAATCTTTGATGTGGGCACTGAAGTCTTTATATCATATTTCCCAATTCAAAAGTAAATTATAAATCTGTAACTGAAACCCTTCTTCCCTTTAAAAGCTTCTTCCCATAGGTGTACTCCTGCTTTTTCAAATAAGTAGAATAATTTCTGGATTTATTTCCCTTCTTTTTTTGGAAACCCAAAGTGGCTCACAAAGACCCACGGTTTCCTACCACTTACTGGGTGTGAGATCTTGGGCAAGTTACTCTATGTGCTTCGCTTTCCTCATCTGTAAGACAGCTTGTGAGGATGGAATGAGTTATTTTATTTTATTTTATTTTTTTGAGACGGAGTCTTGCTCTGTCGCCAGGCTGGAGTGCAGTGGCGTGATCTTGGCTCACTGTAACCTCCACCTCCCGGGTTCAAGCGATTCTCCTGCCTCAGCCTCCCGAGTAGCTGGGACTACAGGTGCACACTACCATGCCCAGCTAATTTTTGTATTTTTAGTAGAGATGGGGTTTCACCATGTTGGCCAGGATGGTCTCAATCTCTTGACCTCGTGATCTGCCCGTCTTGGCCTCCCAAAGTGCTGGGATTACAGGTGTGAGCCACTGTGCCTGGCCGGAATGAGTTATTAAAATTAATAGTGTCTTCATCCAAACGCTGGCTACTAAGTTTAATGGAGGGAAAGGCAGTAATTTGAAGCGATAATAGCTTTCAAGTGCCAGTCTCCTAAATCAATGGAATAGCATTTAAGTGTTAATCGGCCAGCACTCCATTCCTTAATCAATCCTGTCCCCTAATCCCCAACTTTGCTTTTGTCTCAACATGAATTTTTATGACATAGGGGAAAAAGATTTCCATCTATGTTTTCAACACATTTCATTGAGCAGTTACTATTACCTGGGCACTGGATATAAAGCAGCAAACTTATGAAACCGCCTTTGCAAAAATCCTGAGGAAATTAAGACAGTGAAAGAGATCAGGACTCACCTACCCATCTTCCTTCTAACCTCTAAACTGTCTTTGTTCATTCCTGGGTGTAGGCTGAACTAGTCTTGGAGAGGAATTTATAGTTTAAACTCTGAAACGAAATGGATAATAGCCCTTTCCTGAAAAACCCCTTCTTGCCTGGGGACCGGTCTGCCTTTGTAGGACTAACAAATTAGCTACGAGTTTAGGGGCCACGCCGCCTCTGGCTGTAAGAGTCTGAACCTCCCCAAATTGCTCCTGGTAATGATATCACTATTGTAAAACCTAAGGTCAGTGCTTGAGATATTTTGCAGATCCTGCATTCCGATGCAGCAAATGACACCACCCAGAGGTCAGCAAGAAGAACTCACTTCGACTCTCCTATGATTTTATCTTCAACCTGACCAATCAGCACTCCCCACTTTCCAAGCCCATACCCGCCAAATTATCCTTAAAAACTCTGATCCCCGAATGCTCGGGGAGACTGATCTGAGTAACAATAAAACTCCGGCCTCCCCCACAGCCGGCTCTGCGTGAATTACTCTTTTCGCCACTGCAAATCCCATCTTGATAAATCCGCTCTGTCTAGGCAATGCGCAAGGTGAACCCCTTGGGCGGTTACACTTACTCTGGCTCCCCATTCTGCTGCGTGACTTTAGGTAGGCTACCCAACATCCCTGGAATTCAATGATTGATTATACGATCTCCGTGCTTCCTTTCCACTCATAGATCTTACAAAGTCAGTTTCATGCCTCTTTCATTGACAGTTCTATCTCTCTATCTCCACCTCTGAACAACATTGCTCGAGTTTCTGTTCCGACAATTCTATAGACTCGACTCAATGAAGGCACTCAGAATTTCTACCACCTGTTGTATTTTCCAACAAAGATTCCAACCACAGCGGCGAGAGGGAGTTATGTATCACAAGCTGTGATTAGAGACACAATGAGATTTATACAAGGAAAAACTGATTAAGAATCACAAGATTCCAAAGCCCAAAGGAAGTCCTATTTGTAACAATAAATGATGAAAAAGGGGAATTGACTTTTGACTTGTCAGCAAAAACGAAATTAAAAGAAAAGCAAAAGGAGTTGGAAGGGGGAGGCGGGATTCCAAGATACAAAGCATAAATAAAAAGAAGTTCTGTGCTCCACCCCTCCACCAGAGCTGGATACAGCCCTTCTGTTGTCCGCCCTACAAACTTTAGGAAACTTCAGCAAAAGGCCCACCTCCTGGAGTTCCCAGGAACCCCAAAACACGCGTTCTAAGGAAAGAAACAAAGTTGTGCGCGGTCGGGTTTCATGGAGGCCGGCGCCTTCTCCCCCGACCCAGCCCATTCCAGTTAGGTAGGGTCCAAGGCTCAGCCTGGCCGCCCGAGGGATCCGCCCAGCCCAGCCCCAGGGGTCTCAGCGCGGGGGTCCGGCGGGGCCTTCCACAGAGGGCGCGGGAACCTTGGGCGGGCCTGGGGCTCACCGCAGTCCTTGAACTGCACCGGTTCGGCCTGGGCAGCGGTGCTGAGCGCCAGGAGCAGGAATGTAGCTGCCAGGAAACGCATCGCGGATAACGAAGTTCCAAGCTCGGGAAAGAAGCAGCGGCCGCCCGCGGTCACAAGACAAACCTGTCGGGGCGGGCCCGGGGAGGAGCCCAGTCAGGCGACCTGTCACCAGTAACCACAGCTGAGGCCCGCCCGCGCCCCGCCCCCGGCTCCGGAAAGCCAGCTCCAGCCCTCTCAGGCCCAGAAGCCTGCAGTCTCCGCCCATGCCATCCCCTCAGAGGCCTGACCCGCCCGGACCCACCTCCGCCCCGCCCCGCCTCACTCCTCCCCGCCCCGTTCCTTCCCTTTAGAGCACCTCTCCGGCTTCCTGGGTGCGTCCCCGCCGCTGCCGTCTGGAGCATTCCTAGCCAATCAGACACCTTCTCCTCCCGCACTACCCAATAGGCATGTTGGGGGGGCGGGGCCTCCGTGAAGTCCCGGCCTCCTGTTCGTTCTCTCCGCCTCCCGAGGCCCCGGGTGAGAAACGGGGGAGACGCGAGGGGCGGAGCTTGTGGAGGAAGATGGCTGCCGCCTGGGGGTCGTCCCTAACGGCCGCGACGCAGAGAGCGGTCACTCCCTGGCCGAGGGGCAGGTACCAAGACTAGAAAGGCACCTGGAAAGGGTGTTTGGTTCTGCGCCTCTAGGACAAATGGGAAACTAAGGCCTGTGGGGGATGCGAGGGTTTGGTGGGAGGCCGTCCAGGTGGGGGTCGCCAGGTTTAGCGTGAGGCGCTCCAGGTCGAGGGTTGCAAGGTGCCCCTTCTGCTCCCGGGCTCACCCTCCTCCCTTGCGCGCAGGCTCCTCACGGCCTCCCTGGGACCCCAGGCGCGTCGGGAGGCGTCGTCCTCCAGCCCCGAGGCCGGCGAAGGGCAGATCCGCCTCACAGACAGTTGCGTCCAGGTAGGAGGCCGGACGCGGAGCGGCGGTACCCAGGCGATTGGCGGGAGCAGCGGGAACTGCTCTTCACTCAGCCCTTTAACTCCCGTTTCCCGCTATTCTTGATCCCCCTTCCTGCATTTCAGAGGCTTTTGGAAATCACCGAAGGGTCAGAATTCCTCAGGCTGCAAGTGGAGGGAGGTGGATGCTCCGGATTCCAATACAAATTTTCACTGGATACAGTTATCAACCCCGACGACAGGCAAGGAGGAAGGGGTGGGCCCCCAAAGGAGGTACAGGAGGGACAAAAGTGTCTCCAGTTTAAGGTGCACTTTTATTCCAAATTTAAAGGGTTTACCTGGGATGGTTAACACCGCCCGTCTCACAGTGAGGATGCAGTAAAGGTTTGTTGTTCTGAATCAAAGTAACTAAGTTATAGGAGCAAAATTGATCTGCCCAGGTCCATTGGGTAGTCGGTAGAAAGTCAGGCCGGACTAGATTCCAGGCTTAAGTCCCTACACGTTTCCCAGTATTTATTCCATTGAATCATTTTGCCTCAAAGAAAATCAGCACCTGTTAAAGGTAATGGGGAAGCTCCCTCTGTACTTTAGAAAACAGAGGATGTGCACCTCTGGGCTCAGGGGGTGTCTTTTTTGTGTTTGCGATACTCCTTAATGCCTTCCTCCTGTCTTTTCAGGGTATTTGAACAGGGTGGGGCAAGAGTGGTGGTTGACTCTGATAGCTTGGCCTTCGTGAAAGGGGCCCAGGTGGACTTCAGCCAAGAACTGATCCGAAGCTCATTTCAAGTGTTGAACAATCCTCAAGCACAGCAAGGCTGCTCCTGTGGGTCATCTTTCTCTATCAAACTTTGATGTGATGACTGGTGACTCTGGGATTGTCACCAGTTGTACCAATTTGAAGAACCTGGAATTAGTAGAATTCTAGAAGTTTACTTCTAATCATGTCCCTCTCAATTTTATTTCCCGCAGTCCAGGAGTGTTATGTTTTGCCACTATTATTTTCAGAATGTGAAGATTTTACTCTTGGCTTAATTTTTCCCTCCACTCAGTGCTAAGGCTGAGCCTCCAGATGCTGTTACCTCAGATTTAATCACTGGTTGAAACTCCGTATAATCTGTAGAGCCTCCATGGCTCTAAAATTTGGAATTAACTTCTCTTGCCTTAAGAGCTGCTTGTACATATGTGGATAGCTATGTATAAAAGCTTCATTTTAAAGAAGGTTCTTATTGTGTTGTGGATCAGGGTCACAGATTGGGTAGCTTGGACACCAGTTATTAGAGGATGAGAAAAGTAAATGAAATGTTCTCTTTTTCACTTCACCCTGCCAGAATGTGCCACTTGACTTATCTTTATTGTCTATGCAACCCATTTGCCACTTCCTGTTTGATAGGACAGATACATTTTACTCTCATGCTCGTGGATCTGCTATGAGTCATAAAACCAAGAGCCCGTTACCCAGAAAACTTGGACCAAACCCTCACTGATAGTGAATTATTTCAAAAATAGCCTCCCTACTCATACAGACATTTTAAGATTCTGTGACAATTTAATGACTGAATCTTTTTAGGATATGTTGCTTTACCTGCCTTCTGTTGTAAAATGGCTCTGGTCTCATGCACAGCAGGAAGTGATCCCTTTATTGTTATAGGTAATAGATTCTTGGGAACCTTTTTTTAGATTGGGTTACCAGATGAAATGTAGGATGCCCAGTTAAATTTGAATTTCAGGTAAATAATTTTTTAGTATGCATATGTCTCAAATATTGCATATACTAAAAATTACTATTTGAAATTCAAATTTAACTCATATTTTTATTTGCTGACCTTGGCAACTCTGCTTTAGGGTCACCAAACAGCTTTTAAAATCACAAATTCTAGTGAATTAAAGTACTTGTGTAGGTGTGGCACTTAAATAGGCTTCGGAGCTTGAAATAATCCTGTTAGAGTACTGTGGAGCTGTGTGGACAGACAGTGAAAGAAATCTACCACCATCACCACACCGAATGATTTATTAATACTGATGTTGGAGAAACTACAACCAAGTTGATTCTGGAAGAGTTACTGGTTAAATCCATCTTTTGCTTGGGAGCCTAGAAGTTTGTTACAGTAAAGACTTGCATTTCTGCACTGGATTGGAATTAAGGTCATTTAGTAAGAATTTACTATTTAAAAAAATGGAAATAGAGTTTAGAAAATATCTGAGACAGAAACTTAGATACATTTCCAACATGGCAAAACCTAGGACTTAGAGAAAACAAACCTATCATGCGGTTAGAGGAGAGAAGGGGACACTCAGAAACCTGAGCACATTTCTTAGAGCTGGTGGAAGGAGGCAGAAAGCAGCATACCATGGGAGCATCTGTGTGCACACATGACCAAGACAGTGCCGCCAGTACCTGCGCCTGATAGGGTTTCAGTTCAGACTACCTGTCCTTTCATCCTCCTTAAAAAGATTTTGCTACATTTTAAACATTAGAATATATTCTTTAAGAATATTTTTGTGGGTTATTTATTGATTTTGTGGTTTTAAAACTCTTGAGCACGAGCAGAACAGCTTTTGTTGCTAAATCAATCAAATTACAGTGGTGCACTAGACAGAAACAGTCCCTTAGAATGCAGCTTATATGTGAGTATCTACTGTTAATGGGAGAATTGGAATTTTATGTTTAGAAAAAGGCAGATTTGGGGCTGGGCACGGTGGCTCACGCCTGTGATCCCAGCACTTTGGGAGGCCAAAGCAGGCAGATCACCTGAGGTCAGGAGTTTGAGACCAGCCTGGGCAACATGGTGAAACCCCATCTCTACTAAAAATACAAAAATTAACTGCGTGGTGGACACCTGTAATCCCAGCTACTCGGGAGACTGAGGCAAGAGAATCACTTGAACCCAGGAGGTGGAGATTGCAGTGAGCCAAGATTGCACCACTGGACTCCAGCCTGGGTGGCAGAGTGAGACTCTGTCTCAAAAAAAAAAAAAAAAAAAAAAAAGGCGGATTTGGGAAAATCATGTTACTTCACACTGAGAAAGCTTCATTGGGAAACCAGAAGTGGCAGCAGGAAGTCTCCATTGGTGGAGACTTTATGTTGTTTTTCAAAGAGAAGGTCTCTTGGTCAATGCCCAGATCTTATTGTGGTACCATACTTGAGTTATGTGATGAGAGTGACCAAGGGTATGTAAATTATGTGTCCCATCCACTCTTAGTTTCTTTCTTTTTATTTGAGGCAGGGTCTCAATCTGTCTCCTAGGCTGGAGTGCAGAGGTGCAGCCTCTACCTCCCAGGCTCAAACAATCTTCCCACCTCAGCCCCTGCAAGTAGCTAGGACTACAGGTGCACACCACCAAGCCCAGCTACTTTTTGTATTTTTTGTAGAGATGGGGTTTCACCATGTTGCACAGGAGTCTCGAACTCCTGGGCTCAAGCAATCCTCCTGCCTCAGCCTCCCAAAGTGCCGGTATTACAGGCACGAGCCACCATGCCTGGCCCACCCATAGTTTCTTCGTATGGGAATGTTGAGTGATTACAAGGGATAGGAGGAAAGAAGTTGAGAAGTAAAAGATTAGGAAGGACTACTAAAGTAGGTGTTCAGGAAGAGACTCTTCTTTCTGTAACTTCTGAGAATCGAGCTCTGTTGTTTTGTCGTTTGTTATAAAGCATTAGAGTGCAGGGGTGGCATTTGGCAGGATCAACCTGGTATAGGGAAGTGGGCAGCACTGATCGTGGTGGTACAGCTCTCCCTTGAAATCTGGACCCAAGCTAATGTTGTGCAGCTGGCTTTGGGCAGGGCCTAACACTGTTCACTGCATGTTTTGTCTGAAAGGAAGGAATCTCTTCTATTTTTCTTCCTATCTAGCATTGATGTTTATGATCGTTCTTTTAAAATCCGTATTTTCCACTCTTCATAAAAATGCCACAGGGCTGCCTGACAAATTTGCATTAAGGAATTTTGACATAATTAGCACCTGGCTTTAGTTGTAAATTATAGTCAGATAAATATATAAAGAGAAGGAGCATTTAAGCAATCTTTGGCCAGCAACTGTATTTAAAAATATTTTATTTTTTTTGAATAGGTGATACATATGGTACAAAATTCAAAAAAATACAAAAGGAGATACAGTG
This sequence comes from Homo sapiens, assembly GCF_000001405.40. NCBI lineage: Eukaryota > Metazoa > Chordata > Mammalia > Primates > Hominidae > Homo > Homo sapiens. The sequence continues at coordinate 74,498,265 of NC_000014.9, forward strand.
AAAAGTCTCCCAATCCTGTACCTATCCACCCTGTCACCCTCCCCACAAACCACCATTGGTTCTAAGAATTTATCCTGCAGATGTAATCCCATAAATTAATGTGAAATATGCACAAGAATATTCATTACAGCATTATTTATAGCAAAAGACAGGAAACAATGGAAACGTCTGTCAGTGAGGGACTGATTAAATAAATTATGGTTTATCCATTCAATGGAATAGTATACAGCTGTAAAATGAAATGAGGCAGCTCTAATTGCAAGTATAAAAAAAAAGCAAAGTGCAGAACAGCATGCATAGTATGCTATTTGTATTTTAAACAAAGGAAATATGTATATATGCATACAATATCTCAAGGTTGGCAGGAAGGTGGAGATTGGAGTGTTGTGGGGGCAGTGGGAACAGCAGTTACGAAGGTGTAGTGCCAGCAGGATATATTTGGGGGATGGTAAGTTCTCCGATGGTGAGGTATAAGGCGGAGTGGCAAGGATGAGGTGAACAGACAACCGCTTCTCTTTCCCCATTCTTTAGACAAATAGTGTTATGTTACATGCTGTTATGCAACCCTCCCTTTTCCCCTTAATTTGTTTTGGATATCTTTCTTAAGGAATTTAGAGCCACCTTTTTTAAGGGTTCCATAGCAATTAATTGTTTCTAATCTTTAGCTATTACAAATGATGCAGTAATAACTTCTTACGTATGTCATTTTATATCTGGTGAAAATATATCTGAAGGTTAAGTTCCTAGAAGTGGAAACTACTGGATCAAAGAGTTAGTGCTTTTATAATTTTGAAGGACATTGCCATATTGTCCTCTTCAATATGTACTTCTGTCAGCTGTTATGAGAGTACCTATTTCCCACATGCTTGCCAGCTAGGAGTCTTAACAAGCTTTTTGATCTTTGCCAATCTGACAGTTTTAAAAAGGATCTCAGTATGGTTTTAAGTTGCATTTCTTTTATTATGAGTGAAAGAATATTTTTACATGCGTAAGAGTGACTTATTTTTGTCTGCTGAAAACATCTCAATTAGTATAGGGACCTAGAGCAAATTATTTAAGCTTTCTATGTCTCAGTTTCCTCACCTGTAAATTGAGAATAAACAATAGTAAGTAGGATTATTGGATAATTAAATGAAATGTATGTATGGCACTCAGCACAGTGCCTGGCACATGGCAAGCATTCAATAAGTTATGTGATGGCTAACAATCAGAGGAGCAGGTAGGACAGGGCAGATTAAATTAAGAAAGTAGCATTCACTTCCATGCTCCAGTCACATGGAGCCTTGTTCATTTACATTGCCATTCATCAGAGAAGTACGAAGTCAGAGCTTTCCTTGTCTTTTAATAGTAAAGAGTCATTTCCCATTGGAACCCATCATAGGCTATCAGCAGAGCTGGCCAGGGAGTAGGCACAGCCTCATCTCTAATATTTAGACTTAGCCAACATGGTAAAGAAATTTAATCTGATATGAAATAAAAACAACAGAAGAGACCAGATGCACATTTCTTTATTCCACCATGGTTCTGAACTCCCAGCTAGTTTGGGTTGGAGTGAGTCTCTGCTTGTAAACTCAGAGGAATGCCTGCCATCGTTTTCTGAAGGGAAAGGGCAGGGGTTTCTGAGTGGAGGGGAAAAACAACATTGGAAATCTGGCTGCTTCTGAACAAGACCACACTGGAAAATAGACTTTTTACTTTTAGCACATCAAACTGGTTTTCACAAAAGGAGATCCCAGAAGAGGTTTGTTTCCTGTAAGAAGCAGTGTTTATGTAATAGAGGTCTTTGTAGATGGGTGCTGTATCCCATGGCAGCCCTTGCTGCTGGTGCCCACAGGCTATCACTGGGCGGATTCAGCTACTGAATATTTTCTTTAGACGTATAAAGCCTTGGCTCCCCTTTCTCATCAACTCCACGTATTTTTCATCATGTCCTCTTGCTGCTTTCTCAGGCTCTTTGTTCTTCTTCATTTGTGTCTCTTACATTCAACAAGCTAATATCAGCCTTGCTTCTCTGAGTGAAGGGATCTTCTGCCACTCCTTGGGGTCAGAGAATGGGCTACAGGATGGAGGTGTGGCAAAATCAGGGCCCAGAACAGATTGGCTGAGTGGTGGTGATGGTTCTTAGGAGGGGGCTCTGGAGTCAGTCCCCAAGCTTCCCCAAATCCTTTCTTGCTCCACAGATTCTGAAGGACCTCCCTAGGGCAGATGTAGCCTCTGTCCCAGTTGTGGGATCGTCAGGATGATGGTGGATTGTGGCTGGAAAGGGGTGTCTGCAGTGTGAGGCCATGGGGCCTTGCATGCTCGCACAGCTTGGGAGGGTGGATGAGGGCCATCCTTTGGTAAGCATCCCATAGCAAGGCCAGGAAAGGTGGTGGACAGGGCCTCATGCGGTGGCTGAAGCATTAAAGCGATTGGTGGTGCTTGAGCCAAGCAAGGGCATGGAGGCAATGACCGAAGCTTACAGCCAGAGGCTAAGCTGGGAGAGATGAAAGCAGGCAAGGCTGATTGGAAACCTCTGGCCTGATGTCACGGTGTCTTCCCAGCTAGGAAATCATCCTCAAGGCCCCTGCCTGTGACTGGAGGCCATTTCCAGGTAGTTGCCACACTGACCCCTGACTGCTACTCCTTGGCAGTGCAGTGGGGGGGCCCTGCCTCAGCCACATATCCCGGGGAGCAGTGGCAGCGGTAGGAGCCCTCTGTGTTCTCGCAGTAACCATGGACACAGAGCACAGCAGGCCCGTTCAAGTCATCACACTCATTCACATCTAAGAGGAAACAAAGGAGAGTGCTGTAGGGAGCCCAGGTGCCTCTGCTGGCTGCCTCCACCTCTCTGGTTAGTAAGCCCTGGCCACTGCCCTAGAGTGAAACCCTAAGTGTGACAGCCAGAGGCTGAAGTCACTTCCCAAAACCAAGCAACTCAAGGACAAAGCAGGGGGCAGCAAGCTCATACCATGCCCAAGACCGTGCTCTCTTGTCCTTGTCTTTTGTCTGGGAACCTGCACGGAAGGGGCTTTCTAAAGCACATAATTAAACCTTCCTTTGGCGCTTTCTTCCCTTCCAGCCTGATGCAGACAGCCCCACTAGGAGGCAGCAGTGGCTCTTCCAGCCTTCCTGAGTTCAGGCGTCTCTGTGGGCAGTGGGCCAGCCTGACTCCTCCATCAGAATTCTGCACTTACCTACGCAGGCCATGTGGGCCGCATCCAGCTGGAAGCCCTCAAAACAGTCACAGGTGTAGCCCTCCCGCACGCGCACACAGCGGCCATTCTCACAGCCGTTCAGGATGCCGCACTCCTCCGCCTGAAGCCCTTCGAAGCCGGCTGGGGGCTCTGGGAGGAGGAAATCGGAGAGAGGAGGAGGCTGAGGGCTGTGTCCAGACTCTCCCTAATGCTGGGACCCTCGCCCTTCTGGACAAAGGGTGCCCCTGTGGAACTGTGGGGGTGGGGGCAGAGAGGATCATAAAATTCTTGTGGAAAGATGCTAGAACAAAAGGCAGTACTCTTGAAAAAAAAAGTATGTGTCATTTTAGATGGGGAGAGGTGCTCTGGGCTTCAAATGAGGGCTCCAGGGAGGCTGAGACTCGCTGCTTCCACAATGCCCGGCTCCTGCTGGGGTTTGGGTGGTCGAGGAGTGTGTTGCTACATAGTTTTTGGGTTTGGGCGTGGGGAAGGGGTGAGGTGTTTTGTTTAAACCTTCACATCGTGTTTTTGGGAAGTGGGGAACAATTGGTAGCAGAGGGGCCTCACTCAACACAAAGCAAAACATTGACCAGATCTACCTAACCCTCTTCACTCCCTAAGCACCCCTCCACCCCATGGAAAAGGCCACACCCTACCCAGAGGTATGGTTTTAGTCTGATGTGGTAGCTTTGCCTGTGGTGGGTACCGTGTGCATGGCACAGTGCTAGGCTTGACTTCCTCATTAGACTCCAAGGCCTGAGTGTTTGGATCGCACCATTCACAAACCGAGTCATCACGGTGGGCCTTTAAAGTCCTTAGAAAACCTTAATCCACACTTCAGGTCACAAGTGTGAATGCTGGGTGTCCTTAGAGCAGGTTATTCTGCAGCCTGTAGGTGGCGTGGAGGGAGAAAAAGACTGCAGTGAACAGCTTTCTCTCTCTCTCTCAGTCCCCACAGGAAGCTTGTAGGTTGGGACAGGGGCAGTGTCCTGTACCTTTTTGTGTCCCTGTGATAGTTTATGACGGAGTTGTTAGGGTCGGACCTGGGCGTATGTACTTGTCTCAAGCGAGCCGTGAACGGGGACCTCTGGCTTGGTGTGTCTTTCCCCTTCCCAGTCCTCACCCTGCTGGCAATATGACTAGCAGGTGGAGGAGATGGAAGTGAAACAGCTTTGGTGCCCACCTCTTCCCCAGTTTTGCAGCAACACAGACCTGGATGGCTGGCCACGTAGTGGGGCTGGAGTTCTGAGGGCTGCAAAGGAGACTCAAGGATGGGTGTGCGGTCCGCTGAGTGACCGGCTGTGTTGGGGAAGGCAGGCTCAGGGACGGTGTCCTCGGGGCCCAGGTAGTTGTAGAAGGGGGCCCCATCTGGGCCATAGATGCTGTAGTGCAGGTCATCGGGCCCGGGGCCATACTCATAGCCTGGCCGGAAGTGGACCCCGGCCTCCCGCTCTGCCTCAATGCGAGCCACGTTGCACAGCTGAGCATAGACCTCTGTCAGGGAGGAGGGAGAGAAGGAGCTGGGTTCTAGCTCCTGCCAGCTAAAGCCTGGCTGGCTTTGTCTCTGGGAGCATGCAAGGACTGGTACCCTCTGGGAGATCCTGGCAACATTCCTCTCCCCACCTCTCCCCTGCCCTACTTTGTCCCCAAACAGCAGGGATGGAAGACAGGGCCTTTGCTCTGCTCCTTCTTTCTAGATCCCCAGTTCCAAGGTGAGGGCATCCCCCTCCCTGGGGCCTGGCCCAGCCCTGCAGGGTATCCCCTTTGCTCCCCCTCACCAGAGCTCCTCGGGGGACACAGAGCACACTGCTGGCTCCAGGCCTCGCCGTCCTGGCAGCAGCATTCCGTGTAGGTGGTGCGGTGCCCACGCAGGGGTTCGCTGCACACATCATTGGTGACTTTTTTCCAGCAGATGTCCATGTGGATGTCGTGGTCAGGGAGGTCCTCTGGTGGCACAGGGCACGGAGGCACATGAGCCCCCCAGCCCAGGTACCCTTCTCCTGCTCCCCCACGCTCAGGCCCACTCACCCGTGCTGCTGGTGCTGTTCATGCAGCGCTGCTGGCTGAGGTCCAGGGTGAGCGGGGGGCTGCAGAAGCAGTGGAAGGAGCCCTCCGTGTTGACGCACTCGCCATTCTCACAGGCCAGGTCCTGGCACTCATCGTGATCTGGGGAGGCAGGAAAGGGTGGGGCATTGCCAAGGTGGCCTTTCCACCAACCACCCTCAGGGAAGGGTGTTTGCCTATCACTGATAATGAAGAGTTAGTGCCCTGCCTCCCTCCCCTCAACCCAGCCCAGCCTGGAAGGCCCTCCTGGGGACAATCTCTGACAGCCCACAGCTCCTTCACCTGGGACCAGCCTGCTGCAGTGGGCGGCCTCCCTAGGAAGGGGGACTCTCAGCAATAATGGGACTGGCTGGCAGGGGCTGGGTGGGCCATTATTCAGCTGTGGGCCTGGGGTGGGGGCAGGGATCATGTGTGTCCTTACCCTCACACTTCTTGTGGGAAGCATCGTAGTGGAAGCCGGGATTGCACAGGCAGACATAACCAGGCACGGTGTTGAGGCACCGGCCGTTCGGGCAGAGACCAGGCCCGAATATCACACACTCATCCGCATCTGTGGAAGGCAGAGCTGAGGTGAGAGGAAGGTGAGAGGCAGTATGAGGGGTACCTAGAGCAGGGAATCCAAAGCCAGGCTGGGTTTGAATCCCAGCTCTGCCACTTACTAGGTGGCTTTGGGCAAGTTGCTTAAGTTCGCCTTGCCTCCGGTTCCTACATACTCTTAGAGTTGTTGTAAGGATGAAAAGGTGTTAATATGTGTGAGGTGCTCAAAAAAGTGCACGGCGTGTAGCCAGCACCCAAGAAAAGCAATCTCTGTCTCCATCATTTCCTTCTCAAGACTAGCTTCAGGACTAGGGTGCTGAGGGGCGCAGTACCTGGACCATCCTACTGTGAGTGTGTGTTCCCCAGAGTTTCTGGCCTCATCAGTGCGGCCAGGGAGATGAGCGCAGCCTCTGGCCTCTAGAGCAGTGCTCTCCACTCTGTCCCTGTGCCCACATGTGGCTGTGGGTGAGAGTTAGTCAAGGCATCATAGTTTGTTTCTGGAGGTGCAGCTTGGGAGAGCAGGGAAACTGAGGTGAGGCTCATGTGGACACTCCAAGAGCAGCTTGAGTCAGAACTTCCAGCTAACACTCTGCAGGGAGTCAGCCCTGGGACAGAAAAGGTGGAGGCAACCTGCGAGGCCAGGGCTGGATGCAGAACTTCCCCAGGGACCCTGTGGAGGAGCAGGCTAGGGCCCACTCAGGTGAAGGAGTTTGGGGCAGAGGATGGAGCAGATTACCTGTGTACATGGTCTGTCCAAACGTCCAGGCTCCTTCCACAGGAATGTAGCCTTTTCCACTAGGGCAGATCTCGCTGAATTCAGCTATGTAGAGAGGCGTTTCAGCTCAGAGTGGGGAGGGCCCTGCCCCCTTCCTCTCTCCCCTTCTTTCAGTGTCACCTTGCAGAGCTGACCCTTCGAGGATCTGGAACCCTTGGGGTCTTACCTGAGTCCTCAGACGGGCAGAGGTCACAGGCATCTCCCCAGCTAGCGCCCTGGGTGCAGCAGCATTCAGCCTGTGTGGTGTTCCGGCCCAGGACACTGGAGCAGGGCGCATGGCCCTTCTGCCCGGAGTAGCAGTCCATGCGGGTGGGGGCCGGGGCATGGTCCCCCGTTGGGGCCTCAGACATACTCTGACCTGTGCGTGACAGATGCTCATTACTGTCTGTTCATGACCCTCTAAGGGGGGTCAATAGTCCTTGACTTTATTTCTTAAATTTAACATTTGTGTAGCACTTTACAGTGGAAAAAATTCTGTTACCTGTATTACCTCACTGAGGCTCTCCACAACCCTAAGAAGTGGCCTAATCATCATCTCAAGAAATTGAGGCTTAGAGAGGCTTGGGGCCTCGCCACTGCTGTGCGATTAAGCTATTAAGCAGTGCAGCAGGGATCTGACCCCAGTTCCTCCTCCCCTGCGCTTTGCGGTATACCATGCTGCCTGCCTCCCTGGGACGGGCTGCCCCCAGTGCCTGGCATGCCATATGGGCAGCCCTCTGGTCCATTCTGCTTCACATGTACCCCAGCCCCTCCCACCCTTCCTCGTCTCCCTCACTTTCCCCCAAGGCAGTGAAGACCAGCTGAGTCCTAGTCCAGCCTGGCGTGAGAGGCTGAACCCAGGAGCTCTCGGGTGGAGTGGGAAGTGGGAAAGGGAGAGCCCGGTTTAGTTCAGCTCCAAGTCCTCTCTCATCCAGAAGGTTCCCAGGGATTAGATGGATTCAGGGTCCCTCCAAGGCTCAATCTGCGGTCCCTGGGGCCACCCTAAGTCAGCATCAGGGTTTCCTGAGCCTCCTCTAGGATCGTCGCCACCCTGTAGCTCCTGGTTTTGCTGCGCGCGGCCCTCAGCCTCCTCACCCCTCCATGCACCAGGCCCCGCCTGCACCTCCCTATGCTGCCCCAGGCCCTGGCCCAGTGTCCCCCTCAGCGGCTAGAGGCTAGTAGAGGGATGCAGAGGGACACGCTCTCTGTAAACCTCTGAGTCACCATGGATAATGTGTCTCCCAGGCCTCACCTCCAGCCCCCCGTGGGCGGCAGTGCCCCTCCTGGGCATCGTACTCCTCCAGGTCACTGGCACAGAGGCACAGGAAGGAGCCCTCCACGTTCTCACAGAGCGCGGCCCCACATACCGCCAGCATAAGCTCACACTCGTTCACATCTGCCAGGTGTGAGAACAGGCTCGTGGGCAGAAAAGAGGCAGCCCGTGCCCCCTGCCCCTGACTACAGCCCACTGCCCCCAAAAGAAGCAGGCTAGGCCTTGGGGAAGAAACAAGAGTAAGTATAGATTTGTAGGGAGGAGGAACCAATGGACAGAGGGCATGGGAAAGAAGAAAAAAGGAGAGGAGTGGCAGCAAACGGTCACAGAAGTGCACAAAGAGGAAGGGTTACCCCTCAGTGCACATTCTCCAAACCTCCTGCCTCCTGAGGCTCTGAGGCTTGAGGACACCTGCTGCCCTGCTGGCAGAGCGCGGCTGTGCTTCCCCTTACCCGCCCGGCCCATGTGCCCCTGGGCGAGGAGTTGAAGTCTCCCTCTTCTTTGAAGCCTCCCTTGCCCATGCTCTGGGGACCCGTGATGGAGCCACGTGACCAGGACCAGTTGAGGAGGAGGACCCCAGGGCCTTCCCTTCCCTGGCCCAGACCTTGGGTAGCCCACAGGCTCCTCACCCACACAGTCCCAGCCTGAGGGAGAGATCTCGAAGCCCTGGTCACAGAGGCAGCGGAAGGAGCCATCAGTGTTGTCACAGAAGCCGTGGCTGCCACACATGGTGTCGTTGGCGCACTCGTCTATGTCTGTGGGACAGTGGGAACCAGGATAGAGGATGTGTGTGTGTGTGTGTGTGTGTGTGCGCGCGCGCGTGTGTGCTCACTCTCTCACACGCATGCACACTCTCTCGTTCTCTGCTGAGAATACTTATTTGGCTTATTAGCACCAAGACCTGTGAAAAGCAGCCTCTCAACCCAGGATAAGAAAATCCTAACATTCACAGTCCTGTGGCATCTTTCATAAGCTCTGCTGGATGGAAAATATACAAGCTACAATCAGCTGCAAAAAATCGTGTCCTCAGGAGAAAATCATGTCTCGCTCAATATGTGAAAAATAGGTTTTCTCAGCCCTCTCTCCTCTCTCTCCTCCCTCCCTACTCACCAATGCAGTCTCCGTTCGGGGCCATGTGGAAGCCAGGCTGGCAGCCCAGAACACAGCGGTAGGAGCCAGGGCTGTTTTCACACTTCCAGGTGCCACACACCGGGTCTCCATAGTCCTCACACTCGTCAATATCTGTCCCCAGAGCCATGCCATGAGAGAGGACAGAGGTGGCCAGGTCACTGCTGTGGTCCCACAGGGTCATGCCCCACAACCTCTGGGGTTCTTGATCTATTCCAAATTACTGTGCTCATCCCAACCCCAGCACATCAAGGTCAGGACGATTTCCCCTGACCCTGCAGGGCTGAGCCTCTGGGAAGAGAACCGTATGCTATTTAGGAAGCAGTGAGCTCCTGCCCTTCTGTGACACTCCTTTTCCTCCACTGCCCCCATCTGTCTCCTATCCCTACCAGCAGAGCACTGTACTTCTCTTTACACGAAGCCTTCAGCATAGTGTATTACAGAGAGTTGTCTTCATATCTGTCTCCCTTGCTTTCAAGATCATCCATAACTGTCTATTTGTCCTAGCAAAAGACATTGAGCATAGCAGGTGTTTAATGTCTATTGAATCAATTTGGCCTTTAAAACTAGATTGTGTGCTCTGCCAGCACGAAGATGATGATTGTCTTCATTTTGTCATCCTTGGACAGCCCCTGAGCCCTGAGTCTCAATACATACACTATTTGTTGGACACTTCATCTGTGGAAAGTGCTCTGCTCCATGGGAGCTAAGGACCAGGCAGTGTAGAGATGGGCAGATGTGGGCAGAGCCCTGTGCCCTCCCCCCAGAGCCCTTACCCACACACTCTCCACTCTCTGGGGAGGGCTGGAAGCCAGTCTCACATAGACAGTTGAAGGAGCCCTCGGTGTTGACACAGTGCCCTCCCACACACGGGTCTGTGGTGGCACACTCGTCCACATCTAGAGTAGAGATGGCTGTCAGCAGACCCAGCCACGGGTCCCTTCCCTGTTAGGGTCCTGTGTAGCTTCCTCTGGGCCCTGAGTAGCCCATAGGAGAGTCAGGGAGTGGCTTATGTAGGAAAAGGCTCGAAGCCAGAGGCCAGGCTGTGGGAGGTGGGCACCGGGGTGGGGGTGAGGGGTGAGGTGGGGTCCCTGGGACTGGAGCTCTGTAAAGGGGAGAAGTGACACTCGGAGTTTGGAGTGGGTGCATGCCTGCTGTCAACGTCGTGAAGAGGCCCTGGTGAGAGACTGAGTCCCTCCCTCCCTGAGCCCCGGGCTCCCTCACATCACTCCTCGCTCCCATCTTCTCCTCCCTGGGCAGGGCCGTGAGCACTTGCTCTCAGTACTGGTATTAAAAGGGACACCACTCTAGTCTTAGCCTGTAGCGCCCATGCTCCTGACCAGTAGAGGTAGCTGTGCTGGCTTCCCATGCTCCTGGCCAGTAGAGGTAGCTGTGCTGGCTTCTCACCCTGGCAGCTGGTGCCCCCCTCTGCGCTGACGAAGCCAGGCGCGCACAGACAGAAGAAAGACCCGTGGCTGTTGAGGCACTCGCCGTGGGGTGCGCAGTGCTCCTCCCCCATGCACTCATTCACATCTGCAGGGAAAAGATGGGGAGTGGGTGTCTGCTGGGGATGTGCCTGCCTCCCCACACACTCATGCCCCCCACCCCCAGTAGGGTGACCTGGGTCACTCACCCTCACACACGGTGCCATTGGCCAGCTGGAAGCCCTGGGGACAGAGGCACTGGTAGGAGCCCACAGTGTTCTTGCACTCGCCTCCCAGGCAGCTGCTCTGGGGGTCTTCACATTCATCCACATCTGCAGGGCCACACAGGGGAGGAAGACAGCCGATGGCAGCACCTCCCAAGGACAGGAGTCAAGGGGGAAGTCTCCAGAGGACCTGTCACCTGCCTGCAGAGCTGGACCCACGGGGGATCATCCCCTCATGAGGCAGCACAGCTGGGACAAGCTTGTGAGCGACTCTTGGGGAGCGGGATGATGGCAGCTCCTCCAGCCTCAGCAGCCCCCCACCTGCTGGGCTTCACCATGGCCCTGACAGAGGGGGCATCCCATTTGTATCCTCTCCCACACAGAGGCTCATACCTTCACAGGAGTCACCCAGGGGGCTGGGCCGGTAGCCCCCATCGCAGTCCTTGCAGGAGAAGGAGCCAGCCGTGTTGGTGCAGACTCCGGAGGGGCAGACTCCCGGGAAGGCACACTCATCTAGGTCTGCAGACAGACAGCGCTCGCCCGGGGACCTAGGAGGGCTCCCACTCCCCAGGCAATGCAGGAACCTCACCGTGGCTTCCCTCTCTGAGCCCCTGGGGCTTTCCTAAAACCCCCTCCCTAGAACGCTCCCAGGACAGCCCTGCCCTCAGCTTCCCTCTTCTCTGGGACTGGCTTTTCCTCCTGTCCTCACTCTGAACTTGGGGATTATGACAATAGAAGCTCTTGTTGGGGCCAGGTCCATTTATGGGGTCTTCTAGCCTAGCCTGGAGCCCCTCGGCATCAGCCCCAAACTGGGGACAAATTGAGTGTTCTTTGGGAGGTAAGACAGCCTATATTCTGTCCCCTTCCACCACTGCCTCCCCAGGGTTACCTTCACAGGCAGTGCCGTCTTCATTCACCCAGTACCCGTTCTCACAGGCAGAGCAGGCGAAGGAGCCCTCCGTGTTGAGGCAGAGGCCTGTGGGGCATGAGGCCCGGCTGGCACACTCATCCACATCTGAAATAGGGCATTGCATTCTGTGTGGGACTCTGCAGGACAGACAGGCCAGGACACTGGCAGGTAGGCAGGGGTGGGGGAAGGACAGGTCTGGGCAGGGATGTGTTGGGTCAGTGTGAATAGGGATGCAAGGCCAGGGGTGGATTCAGGGGGCCAAGGGTGGTGTGCAGAGGGGAGGGAGCCACAAGCTGGATCGGCCTGCGGAGAAGGGGCGCTTCAGCATCTCTGTACCTTGGCAGCCCTTCTCATCTGAGGTGACCTCATAGCCCTGCTCACAAGAGCATCTGAAGGAGCCTTCTAGGTTGGTGCACTTTCCATGGGCACAGACCCCGGGAGTCAGACACTCATTCACATCTGTGGGAGAGAAGTCCAAGACGGTGGGCTGGCCTCCTCCCCATCCTGCAGCCCCCGCTGGCAGGCTCCAAGCATCTCAGTTATGAGGCCAGGGAACCAGCCTTCAGAGGGGCCGCAGGCCACCTGGGGAGGCCATGAGGCCATGCTCCCTCCTCCCACCTAGGCAGGGCAGGGCGTCCCATCCCCCGGGCTCACTTCAGCCCTATCTAGTAACTCAGAGCACTCTGCATGTATCCACGCAGGGGGCCAGGTCTCCCCGCCCTGGGGCTGGTTTGGCTCATCTGAGGATACTTGAAATGAGGTGTCCAAGACCCTTGACTTCCCTCATTGTGTGTGCCAGGAACCCTACATGACCTCCTACCGGCCAACCAAACAACCCACGATCCCAACCCAACAAGCAGCTTCTGCGGGTGGGCGGGCAGCGTGGAGAGAGGCCAGTCATGCCGAGGTGGCTGAGTGGCAGCCCTGAGGGCCTGGGAAACGTCTGCCCTCTCCAGAGCCTCAAAGCGTCTATTCAACACTCAGTCCCTCCCAGCATTCTGAACCCTGAGCCTTTCTTCCTGAGGGGGCTGCAGGAAAAGAGCACACGCCTCCTACTGCAGACCTGCTGCCCTTCTGAGGGAGGAGCGCCCCGCTGTGCGGTGGGCGTGCAGTTTAGACGCTGCTTTTGAGATGCAGAAGAGCAGGAGACCCTTCCTCCCTGGGAACTGCAGAAGGGCCTGGCCCCATCCTAAGACCCTTAGGCTCCTCGCTCCACCACAGGATCCAGCTACAGAAGCTGCTGGGACTTTGGGCAGTCACTCCAGAATGAATATGGCCAAAGAGGAGAAAAGGGCCCCACCCTAGCTGATTCAGAGGGCAGAGCCCTGGCGACTCATGCCCAGCGTCATCTGGGAACCCAGCTAGATCATGGAGGACAACAGCCTCCAAGCCACCTCCCTCTGCCCACCTCTTTCCCTTTCCGTGTGTGGGCTCAACCAGAGGTCCCAAGGCCGAATGGCTGGCTCAGTGCCTTGGCCAGCAGCCCTCACCTACACAGCTCCCACTCTGGCCCCGGTAGCCCTCCTCACAGGCCAGACAAGTGTAGGAGCCAGGGGAATTGACGCATCTCCCATCAGGGCAGGTACCGGGGTGACGGCATTCGTTGATATCTGCAAAACAGCAGCCCCTCCCTTGGTCATCCCTGGGAACATAGCAAATGGGTAGGTCTGTGACACAGCAAATCCTTGTCCCTGCCTTTGGTTGGGGAGAGGGATGGACAGAGGGAAACTAGGAAAGAATGAGAGCTGCCCTGTGTTCCCAACTCCACCTCTCACCCACCGTCTGGGACAAAAGAGGGAGATGGAAGAACTTAAAAATTAGAAAGGGAGACTCCCTGGGTGGGTGCAGTAGGCTATGGTTACCACCAGCTGTGGGAGGGTCAGAGGCTCCACTTTGTGAGCTGGGCTGTTGGGGATGGGCTTTCATCTCTCCCCTGGCGAATTCCTAATCCTTTATAAGCAGTGACCATTACTGGGATGTGCTTGGCACAGCAGCTAACTGGATTGCCAGAGGCTCCACAATAGATCATCGGAGGGGCAGTGAAGGCAACTTGGGCTTCCTTGCACCAGGAAATGAGGACCATGGAGGAACCCCCAATCTTGGATATGGCCAAGACCAGCTCTGAGGCAGAGTGCAGACTGTAGGGTAGAGCTGGCAAAGCTTCTCTGCTGGAGAGCTGTCAGACATTTCTTCCAGCCAAGAATCATGTAGGGATCCTGGCACCCACTCTGGTGAGATCCAGGAAAGTCAGCCAGAAGGGTTAAGCCTGGACACCAAATGGACACCCAGGGGACGAGAGGACCCAGGAAGGGAGAGTGGCAACAGGAAGAGGAGGGAGCTAGTTCTCCCCGGAGCCGAGGAGAGGGCTCTTCCCCGACATAACCTGGCATATCATGGGCTTCATCATCAAGGCACCCAGGGGACCTGGACTGAGTGAGGGAGGTCCTGTCACAGGGACTGAACTCTGAGTCAGCACTGCAGGAGGACATTATGCCCCTCTGGCCCGGTATCAAGGCTCTGGCCCACTCTTCACAACAGGTCCATTGGCCAAGGAAAGAGGAGGGGTTCTTCTTCCTAAATGGGTAATTGTCATTCTTCTAGAGGAAGTCCACCAGCTTATGCATATTTAGAGGCTCTACTGCCCGAGAGGAGGACCTACTCAGCACCTATGGAGGAAGTGTGGGAGGCAGGCCTAGGGTCTGAACATAGGCTTTCTGCAGAGGGACTAAAGCCAGCAGCTGTCACTGCTGCTGGACATGGAGAGGAGAGGACATGGACCTTAAAGTGGAGGGTGAAAGTGAGTCCTCTCTGAGGTTGTTTGGCTTCCAGAAGTCAGGACACATCGAAGCCCTCTGTCCCAGAGGACTGGGACCCTCTCAAGCCTAAAGCTTCTGCCTGAGGGTCCAGAAGACGGGGACATCGCCACAGGGCAGGTGGTTTTCAGGTGGGTCTCTGCAAGGAGAGTCCCACAACTCCCATATAATCTTGGGGACACTGAGATAAGGCGCATCTCTGGCAAGAGGGTAGCCCCAGCCCCTACTTGAGTTGTGGTGACACCAGCCTTAACTATTCTAAGGGCTTCTGTAAAGACAGAGATGGATAAAATGAAGGATCTAAGATGACTAACTTTGGCCACCCAAGAGACAGAGGCCAGTGCCATGACCTGTTGGCCTTGGCCAAGGTACTTGAAGGAGGATGGGCAAAGCCACTGAGAATGAGCAGCAATCCCTGTTTCAGGGATGCCAGATGATCTCTTCCAGGATGAAGAGAACGAGATTGAGGCAAAGCTCCTCCTAAATCCATGCCAGGAAAAATGAAGTCTTTGGACCTTTCCTGCAGGGATCAGGCAACGTGGGAAGGAGATAAGGTTTGCCAGGAGCAAAGGGCCCTGAAGTCTGTCCTGCCCCAAACATGCTGGGCACATCTCTTGGAGGTGGTGTGTGTAGTGTCTTAATGCTGGGCATTTAGGATGCATGTGGCATTCCAGCTCTCCACTTTCTGCACCATGGTAATCTGGTGCTTCCTAGTCTCTTGTGGTTGGGTGGAGCCATGAGACTAGTGAGGGCCAACGAACTGTGAGTGCGTATGATACGGATAATTTATGGACCAAACCATTTAATTTGTGCAACCCTCCAGAGTGCTCTTTTATTCTTCCACAGAGACTGGCTATTCCTTTAGCCTACATCTCCAATGAGGAAACATGGGGCAGAGCCCCCAGCTGACCCTTGATGGACATGTGGCACTGATGAGATAGAAACTTGGCTGCTGCTGGGCATGGTGACTCGCGCCTGTAATCCCAGCACTTTGGGAGGCCAAGACAGGCGGATCATCTGAGGTCAGGAGTTCAAGACTAGCCTAGCCAAAATGGTGAAACCCCATCTCTACTAAAAATACAAAAATTAGCCGGGTGTGGTGGTGGGCACCTGTAGTCCCAGCCACTCGGGAGGCTGAGGCAGGAGAATCGCTTGAACCCGGTGGGGGAGGAGGTTGCAGTGAGCCAAGATCACACCACTGCACTCCAGCCTGGGTGACAGAGCGAGACTCTGTCTCAAACAAACAAACAAACAAACAAACTTGGCTGCTATGTCAATAAGATAGGGGTTGTTTGTTAACGCAGCATAACCTTGTCTATCTTGGCATGCCACTGCTGGCTTCCTTCCTCAGACCAGAGCCCCAGCCAGTGATTATCACACGTGAATGGGAGGGGGAGGGCAGATGATGAAAGCAGCCCCTCATTCTCCACCCGAGCCAGGGAAGGGCTCTCCTTGGTGGAAGTGAATATAACTGAACCATTAGCCAAGCCAATCCAAAGGAGCCAGAGGAAGATTCCGAATGAAGCAGATTCTATTACCAGCTACTCTGAGGCTGTCCCACCAGCATCTTGGTGCCTGGACTGGAACCAGTCACTGGATGCAGAAATATTCCAGTTTTTCTGCCTGGCCTAGGGTATGAATGTTAATCTGAGATTACGGTGTGTTTTGGAGGGTTTTAATATTCTGTCTTTGAAGCCAGGAGCCATCTGCCTTCTTCCTGTGTTCCCAGCCCATGGCCGACACAGCTGGTGCTCAACAAATGTTTGCTAACCAAAGAGTGGGAGAGTATGCCTCAAACTTCACCCTTCATCTTTTTGGTATAAGGCTGCTGAAGAGACCCCAAAGGGCCCATGGCAACAATCAATCCAGAGACCAGCTTGCCAAGCTTCTGTTGGTTCGCTGGGAGAATCCTGGAGCTTCTCTAACCACAGATCAGCCTTTGGATGAGGAAATATAAAGGCATTCACTTCTGGTGGTTGTGAGAGCATGCGGTGGGGGTAGGGAAGGCACTCAGGCAGGGGCCAGAAGCTCAAGTGACCTTGGTTATGGCTGGGCGACACCAAAGGCCCTGGCAGTCTGCAGGGAAGTCTATCCCCTGTCCGTGGGAACCTGGAGTCCCGGTACGACGGAAATGCCGTTGAGACTGCTGGACGGGCCTCTGTCCAGACCACTCAGCCTTTCACCAGAGACTTTCAGTTTCAGTGGCGAGAGTGGTTTCTGAGTTGGAGAAAGAAGAAAGAGGGAGAGGAAATTGACTGGGCTCCCAGGGTGATGGGCCGGGCTTGTGGTTACCGATGGAAACCTGGAGAAGTGTGCGGGCTACATCATTCTTTCTTTCAACAGACTCGGAGTGTCTGCCCTGGGCCAGGAACTCTGCCTGACCTCCCAGATGAGGTGTGTGTCTAGAACCTTTCCTTGGGAAGGGAAGGAGAGGGCTGGGGTATGGGGGAGCCTGGACATGAAAAAGAACTACCCTCTGACAGTAACATTTCCCTCTACTTATTCAAGGTCTGTATGTGCCAGACGGTGCCTAGCACTTTGTATACATTAGCTTATCCGGTGCTCACAAACATCTCTGAGATGGGCATTACAGTTCAATTTCCAGACATCGCGTCAAAAGCCAAACCCAAGCCTGTCTGCACCAGAGCCTGTGCCCTTCACACAGACTGGTTAATATAAATCTGATTTTTTTTTTTTTTTTTTTTTTGAGACAGAGTCTCACTCTATTGCCCAGGCTGGAGTGCAGTGGCGTGATCTCGGCTCACTGCAACTTCCACGTCCTGGGTTCAAGTGATTCTCCTGCCTCAGCCTCGCAAGTAGGTAGGATAACAGGCATGTGCTATCACGCCCAGCTAATTTTTGTATTTTTAGTAGAGACAGGGTTTCACCACGTTGGCCAGGCTAGTCTTGAACTGCTGATCTCCAGTGACCCACCTGCCTCGGCCTCCCAAAGTGCTGGGATTACAGATGTGAGCCACCGCGCCCAGCCTAAACCTGATGTTTTTAATGTTCTGGTATTTTCTTGATTCATTTCCTCTCATTTTACTTCTCTTTTTGATAAAGTCTAATGTCAAATTCACAGTGTCATTATGATGCTTAAATGAGGTAATCTATTGAGGACCTAACCCAGACACCTGGGACACAGGAGGCACCTGTCAGTGGTGGGTGCCATCATTCTCCATTCTCCTGAAGATGCCAGGCTGTCTTATCTCCATCGTGCTAAGGAGGACAAGGCAGGTGGGTTCCGGCTTTGGTCATGGGTAGGCCTGAGTTTTAAAGGGGGAGGACCAAGAGGGAGGCATTGGGAGGTGACACACTGGGGCTGAAGGCAGAGCTGTCTGTCCTGCACCTGCCGCAACCTCTCCCCTTTGCTTCTCTGGACTTCGCTTCCATGGTAGTGGTATTGGGAAGGGAAGCTGTCCTTTCACAAAGTACACAAGCTCTTCTCTGACTTCCAGGCCCTTCTGAAAGCAGGCAAGTCCCAGCCAGGGAAACCTGGAGGCTGGGAGGAGTCTCAGCCTAAGCTCGGACCCAGGGCCAGGTTCTTCTTGGACTGCGCCTGGATTTACCCTCATTTCTTCCTGTCCCAGCCAGTCTCGAGAGCAAATGCCCTGGGCCTCCTACAAGCCTGTGACACCCCAGCCTGACAGGGACGTGGTGGCAGCAAAGCTGCCAGGGGTCTTCAGAGCTGGCACGAGACAGGCAAGGGTCTGTGAGGAGACCAGTTAGCAATGTCACAGCGCCTTCTGGCTGGGTCTGGGAAAGACAGAAGGATCTGGAATCCCTCCCTCCCTCCCTTCCTTCCTTCCTTCCTCTAGCATTTATTGGGTGCTTATCAGTTGTCCATGTATGGGCCATCTAAAGATATGGCCCAGCCCTCAGGAGCTAACAATCTAACAAGCTTAATAAGAAGGCTGACACTCCCAGACACACCGACTCTTCCTCTGCCCCATGAGAAGAGCACATTTTTCAAGGCAACAGGGCGGAGGTTACAGAGGAGATGTTCCTAAGGTGTCATGTGGATAAAGTTGTTCATGCTCCCCTGCTGCAGGTGGCAGACAGGATGCCAGAATGTCACTGAGGGGATGGAAGGGCTCAGGAATTCTCATAGGTGTCTCTGTCCATAGACGTGGGCTCAGCATCAAGGGGCCAGGGCAGAGACAAGCCAGAAGGCGTGTTGGTGGTGGGCAGTGCGTAGGGAGGGACAGGTGGGTGGTGGGGTGGCAGGGCGCTTCCCTCCTTCCCGTTCCTTACCTTGGCAGTGTCCTTTCCTGACCATGATGTAGCCCTGATCACACTCGCAGTGGTACGAGCCCTCGGTGTTGGTGCACTGCCCCCCGCTGCACACCCCTGGCTGCTCACACTCATTGATATCTGTGAACACACAGAAAAGCCCTGAGTCACAGCCAGCCCTGGAGGATGGTGGAGGGGGCGGGGTCCTGGAGCATTCCTTCTAGAGGCCAAGGACAAAGGATGCCATGCTGAGGCCTGGGCAGGGAAGGCATGCTGGCTGCAGCCACAATTGCCTGGAGGGGCTCCTGGGCCAGGTCTGAAATGATCTAGCTCAGGCCCCTGATAAACCTGAGTTCCTTTCTCTCAGGGGAGTCTACTCTGGGGACCCATGGGGATCCTTACAACTGTTTCCTCACCCTCATGCAAGGGCTGATCTGGAGGTGGGGTAGCAGTCCATACAGTATAAACTGCAGAGGCCAAAAGGACTCCCACCCCGCTCCTGGCCCCACTATATCCCCTTCGGGTCTGCTCCTGGAGTCCTTCCTTCCTTTCTTCCTTTATTTATTTATTGAGACGGAGTTTCGCTCTTGTTGCCCAGGCTGGAGTGCGATGGCGCCATCTTGACTCACTGCAACCTCCGGCTCACTGCAACCTCTGCCTCCCTGGCTCAAGCGATTCTCCTGCCTCAGCCTCCCAAGTAGCTGGGATTACAGGTGCCCGCTACCACACCCAGCTAATTTTTTTGTATTTTTAGTAGAGATGAGGTTTCACTATGTTGACCAGGCTGGTCTTGAACTCCTGACCTCAAGTGATCCACACTCCTCAGCCTCCCAAAGTGCTGGGATTATAAGCATGAACCACTGCACCTGGCCTCCTGGAGTCCTTCCTAAGGACCTTCATAAAGGTTAGGAACCAAGCAGCCAGTGAGGGATTGCGTTTTAGGTAACCATGGATCTGTAGGGTGTGGTTTCTGTCACTTTTCCAAAGTATATTGGTGTCCCATCATCTAAAGCCCAACCCCACTCACGCCCCTCCACTGCTTAAACTCCTACCAGAGACCCCTGCTACCTCCAGTTCTGTTCGCAGCTTGGCTCACAAGGCCTTTGCCAGCTGGCCCAGCTCTGCTGTATTTGCTAATTCACACAAGTCCCTTGGTATAGCCTCAGCTATTGCAGATTTCAGCAGTCCAATCTCCAAGCCTTTGTTCACACAAATGCTTCCACCTGGAGTCTCTTTCCTCACGATGGCCAGCAAATCCCTGCCCCCATTTCAAGGACTGGTTTAATGCATCACCTTTGGGTCCTGTGGGTCCCCATCCCCTGTCCCCACAGTCAAATTAATCAAGGCCTCACCTTCCCACTCTCCCCCTTAAACTGGGACTGATACAAACACTTCACAGAGTCCTTGTGCAGATTAAATACAATAATCCAGGTGAGGGGTTGAGCACTGTGCCCACCTGGCATAAGGTAAGCACTGCAGAAATGTTAGCTATTATTATCCTAGTGTTAAACCCCATAAAATCCCAGCTCCTCAAGCCTGGCGTGTGAGATCTTGCATGACCGGCCCCAGCCTGCTTCTCATCTGTTTCCTGCCGCCCGCACCTCTCCTACCCTCGCCTAACCTCAGGACCTGTTCCTGAGCCTCTGCCCACACTGTCCCCTTGCCTGGAACAGCTTCCTACACACCAGTGTGACTGCCTCCCACTTATCTCCAACCCAGCGTCCCCTGAGGGCCCAGCTTTCAGTGTACCTGTTCATTTACTTGCTTCTCCCTGACTAATGGGAACATGCCTTATTATCTCAGCATCTCCAGTGCCCAGCACAGAACCCCAATAAGTGCTTACTGAAGGAATTGAATAATAACCATTTGTTTAAGGACAGTGTCTTCACTTGAGCAATACTTCATAAAACTCCAGTGCACAGCAAAGTCTCTGCCAGAAGGTGGGAAATGCACACTCCTAGGCCCACAGCCAGAGATTCTGATCCTGCTGTACTGGTGGGCCCAGGAACCCACGCTGTTATAGCTCTTCAGGCAATTCTGGAATAACTGGTGTTCACTGTGAGAAGCTCTAACCCCAATGGAAGAGAGAAGGGAACTCATAGACAGAGCCGTATGTGGGAACTGGATGAAGAACTCATTATCCCCTGAGGTCAGGACGACTGTCTGATAGATGGTGCTGGAAAACTCCCTCACTCCATGGAGAAAAATGGAGACGTGAATAGAGAAAGACCAGGTTCTTAACAGCCATATGAAGATGGACTCCAGATGAATCAAAGCATACCATAAAAGGGAAAACTAGAACTCAATTAAGGTATAGGAGAATATCTTTATGACTTCAGGATATGGAAGGATTTCTTAAACAAAGCCCCCAAAACACACAAAAATAAGGCAAAATGGTGAATTTCAGTAAATCAAAATTAAGGATTTCTGTTCCAAGAAATGTAGATAAGCTTAAAGGATAGAGGACAAAATGGGAGCATTGCAATTTCTAAACCCGGCCAAGAATCTAGAATATATAACGGACTCCTAAAGAGCCCCAGGAAAAAGCAGCAACCACCATTGGAAAACTGAGCAAAAATGGGAGCCAGCAGTTTACAGATGAGGAAACCCACAGGCTAATGTATGAAGAGATGCTTACATTTATTGGTAAACATTTACTTAGATATTTAATATGTAAATAATTTATCTTATTGATAATATAAATTATGATTTATATTAATTATATATACATTATTTAAATAATCTATAAATAGATATAAATATCAAATCATTGAGGTAATGAGATATTACTTTATGAGACTGGGAAGCTTCAGAAAGTGGGTGTTATTCTGGACAAGGCCTCTTCCAGTGGTACCCAAGCCCCACTGGGAGAAGTACTTAGAGCCAGCCTTGAACCCCATCCCCGTTCCCCAGCTGCTGGGGCTGGCAGAGACATCTTGGACACCCAGGCTGGCACGGTGGCAGAAACTTGTGTCTGCACCAGTCCTGGTGACACCATTCTCTGCAGCAGCTGCTGCTTATCCCAGGCCAGCTCCCCAGGCTGGGTCTGCAAAGAGCAGTGCCTCTGGCCCACAACACCCACCTAGACGATTGGAGCCCAGAGAAGCCTCCTTCCCTCAGCCTCTCTCCTGGCTCCTCCAGCCTGTTCTGAGCCCTGCCCCTTAAGTCAGCTCCCCGGAAGTCAGCTGACCCAGTCACCACTGTTCTGCTCACAGACTTCTACTGGCTACCCATGCCTGTGAGACAGTGTCCAAGCGCTTCAGCCTGGCACTCAAGACATTTCCCACACTGGCCTCTTCCTCCAGGTAGCCCTGCTCCAGTCATACTGCATTCATGATTATTCCCAGAGCATGCCAGGGAACGTTCACTATTCAGGTCTCTGCAAAGATGCTTCTCTCTACCTGGAATACCCTCTGCTCCCTCAATTCCTATTCACGCTCCATTCCTATTCATGCTCCAACACCCTGTGTGTAAGGGAGTGTGTCTTTGGAAGCAAACCATGCTTTGGAGCTAGAGTGATTTGATTCTGTTTCTAGCTCTGTCACCACTAGGTTTGAGGCCCCTGGGTATTTCAATTCACCTCTGAGCCTCAGTTTGCTAAACTATTAAATGGGGCTAAGGATTTCCATAACATGGAGTTGGGATGATGAGCTTCATATAACAAAATGCTTGGGACATTGCCAGCATATATTAAGTGCTCATTAAATGGTAGCTATTCTTGGTCAGGTGTGGTGGCTCACACCTGTAATCCCAGCACTTTGGGAGGCCGAGGCGGGTGGATCACAAGATCAGGAGTTCGAGACCAGCCTGGCCAATATGGTAAAACCCTGTCTCTACTAAAAATACAAAAATTAGCCGAGCGTGGTGGCAGGCGCCTGTAGTCCCAGCTACTCAGGAGGCTGAGGCAGGAGAATGGCGTGAACCCAGGAGGCAGAGGTTACAGTGAGCCAAGATTGTGCCACTGCACTCCAGCCTGGGTGACAGAGCGAGACTCCATCATAAATGAATGAATGAATGAATGAATGAATGAATGGTAGCTATTTTTATTCTGCTCCATCTCGAGTACCCGAATAATCTCATACAGAACAACTTGCTCCTCATCTGGATCCTACAGTGTCACCATTCACACCTCACTCATCTCAGCATCCTCAGAGCTTGGCACAGTGCCTGGCACATAGGTGGTGCCAACGCATGAGAGCATAATGAACACTACCCGTGATTCTCCCGCTCCTCCGTTAAGTTAGGAGGTCTGCCCCTTCTACTTCCCTTCCCTCCATAATCAAGTGATTGGACCTGGATGGCTTTGGTTTCTGTAAACTGGACCCTTGGGGGATTGGAACCCGAGGGGATCCTGGCAGCAGGAGGGTACACAGCTTCCCTGGCCTCCCTGGGGGTCTGGCCAGAACCAGCAATGTGAGCCCCAAGCACAGGCAGGGTCCCTCTTGAGGTGAAGGATTTACAACTGGATTATGAATCTTAAGGTGTTGCTTAGAAAGTGCTGCATTATATTATTTGTGAACTTAATCATAAAAATGTATGTGGAAAAAAATGTATGTGGGGTGTTTTGCATCATTAAAGGGTTTGCGTTGGGAGCGTATTTATCAAGGGTCCCCTGGCAGTGGGCCACATCACATCTTCCCAGGGAAGTGCAAAGCCCTACAAGTGCCTCCAAGCTGCTGAGGAGCCGTGCTCCTCGTTCAAAGGCACACCTACTCCCAGGTCTGCCAGTAGTCCCAGCCTGGCATCCTTATGGGTCTCCCTCCTTCCCTGACATGAAACCAGCTCCTTGTCACTCGGAGTTTGGGGGCCTGCTGCATAATCCTCATCTCCAGCCATGTCTCCTGACCCTGTGACACTCTTGGTTCCACCCACAATTCCTTAGGGCCTTTGCAGAGATTGCTGGTTTTTGGATTTCTACCCCTCCTTGCCACTGGCATAGAATCAGCCTCCTCCCAGATCCAGGCTGGAGTTCTGGTCTCTCCTCCTTCACTCCTTCAGCTGCCCACTCCCCATTCTGCGGCACGGTGTTTGGGGGTGTGAACCCCTGGTTCCTCTTCCACCCCCTCAAGACTGTGGGGCCTGGCCAAGGGCAAGGGCGGGCTTGGCTTACCTTGACACTCCTGTGTCGCCCCTGAGGTGGCCAGAGTGTAGCCAGGGTAGCAGAAGCAGGAGTAGGACCCCACGCGGTTGATGCAGCGCCCTTTTCCCTTGCAGGGGTCCCTCAGACACTCGTTGTCATCTGACCAGAAGAAGGCAGGGAGGGAGGTCAGGGGGGCCAGCGGTGCCGTTCTTTGGGCACCTACCAGCAACCTGCCCACACTAGGGGCTGGGCAGGGGATGGTGCTGTGTGGCAAGGAAGGGGTGAGGGAGTGGAGGAGGCTGAAAATCTCTAAGGCTGGAAGCCATAAAGTCAGCCCAGTGGGCCCACTCAGGCACCAGAAGCCTGGCGTGACTGCCAGCCCCTCCTATCTGCCCCTCGACTCCTTCCCCCAGTAGCCTCATGATTCCTTTCTCCTTTGAAACCACAATGGATATTTCTCCCTTATTTGAAAATATTGGGGGGAGGAGGAATGAGGTCCACACTTGATGATTTATCTTAGCCTCAGACCTCCCCCTACGGATGACCCTGGTGGAGACATTTGCAACTGGGGCAGTCCTGGGTGTGCTCTCCAGGCAGCAAAATGGCCAGTTTGAGGGGTGGGCTGATCTCAGAGAAGAGGGCTGCCAGGCACAGGCCAGGATGCATGCAATGGGCTGGCTTCTGTGCTCCTGGAGTCCTGGAGACTCATCGGATGGGGCTCACCGAGACTGGTCTTCCCCTGAAGGTTAAAGTTAGCTTAGTCCACAGGGACTGTGCTCCTCCTAAACTCATCAACCACCCAGCACTGCTTGGACCTTCTGCTTCTTCCTGGACTCTCAACTCGGCCTCTTAGCCCCTGCTCCCATCTACCCCAGCCGCCAAGTAAGCCCAGGGCACCCAAGTGAATACCTGTGCAGTAGGCCTGGCTGGGGTGCAGCTGGTAGCCAGGGCTGCAGACACATCTGTATCCATCGGGGAGGTTCACGCAGGTTCCAGGGCCACAGACGTTGGTGGCTCCAGCAGCGCATCTGTCAATGCCTGTGGGAGACAGAGCAAAACAGAGGTTATGGCAGGGTGGGTGCTGGACAAAGGCAGTGGAGCGGGGTGGGGACAGTCAGTGGCCAGGGTCTAGGGGCCTCAGAAGGCCAACCTTAGCCAGGCCCTCCCTCCCATACCCATGCACAGCTTGGCCTTGCATAAGACCCTAGGGGACCTCTGCCCAGCACCCCGAGCCCTACCCAGGATGGAGGTCATAGTAGGGCATCCCCCTCACCGAGATCTAATGGATAACCCATATTTCCAGCAAATTTCCAGCAAAACCCCTCCATCCTAGCCCCACCCCGAAAATGGGCCTGACTCCTACCCAGTGCCCAGCGCCATCCCTCCCTGCAACTCCTGCCCAGTTTTCCCTGGACAGACAGACAGACCTGGTGAGTAAGGTGCTTGGGGAAAACTGCCAGGGGAAAATGGGAGGGGTGGACTGGGGTCAGCTGAGCAGAGCCTTGAAAGCCACATTGAGACTGGCCTGTAACAAGGATTTTGTGAAAGGTGGGGGTGGGTCAGAGCAGTCCTAGAAAGGCCACTCAGGCAACGAGATGATGGATGAACTGGTAAGGGAGGTATAGTGGGTCCTTAAAACCTGTTGAAATAATTTAAATGAGGGTCTGCCTTGGGTGGTGGTGATGGGGTGAGAAGTGGGGAGACAGGTACAGAATTGAGAAATAGTTTGGAGGCAGACTCACTGGGACTCGGGGTTGAGGCTGTGTAGACAGCAGAGACTTTAGCTTTCTGAACGGTATCCCTAATACTAGAAAGGTACCTGGCACTTAGAACATGCCAAATGGATAAATGAATGAATGATGCTTCTGCATTTGTGTCCACCCTGAAGTCTTTGCCTGAAGCCCACATGCTCAGGGGTCCCTGCCCCGCCCCCATAGCTTGGGAGAAGCCGAAGACCCAAGGGAATGGGTTGGGGAATGGTCTGTACGTGGGTATACAGTGGGGCTTAACAGTCTGCCAGATTGTACTGAATTGAATGTGCACCCAAGGCTACCCTCTCCCCGGGCCTGGCTCTAAGTTTGTGTCAGCCTTGGGGGTTGTGGGGGCCCTCAGCTGGGTCCTAAATGTCTGCCCAGAGGGGTGAGGTTACAGAATGGCAGAGGAGAAGGGGGATAGGGCAAAAGGCTGAGGCTGGGGTTGCGGTGGGGACACTCATCCACATGCCAAGAGCTGCTGCTGAGCTTGGCCTGCCCCCTGCCCCCTGCCCCCTGCTTCCCATCCCTTCCTCCAGGTCCATTTTCCTTGTCAGAAATTCAGCACTCCTCTGCACACTCTGCCTGCTGAGCAGAGGCCAGAAGGGGATGCTCCCTGGAGCAGCGCTTTGAGCCCAGAGGAGAGAGGTCCCAGGAGAGGTCAGTGGGGTGTGCCTGGGAAGGCTGGACCCCTACTCCCCACTCTCTGGACTGTTCCACCAGGCGCAGGGGCTTTCCCTTTGCTGAAGGAAATCCAGAACCCCCTGACCACCCTCACCCCCAACACAAGGTGACTGGGTCTCTGGACCCAGTCGTAAGGTTAAGAGAGCAGGAGCCCCAGGAGCGGGCACACACGTGTACAGGGAGCAGCGGCAACAACACCCGCCTTGCTTCTCCTGCACCAAGTCCCCAGACAATGAGCCTTTAAGGAGGGCACATTCCAGAGCAAGGTGGATTTGCCAGGATCGCCCCCACACCCGCCCCTCGCCCCCATCACTGTAGCTGACCAGAGGGAGAGGAATGCAGGCTTGGTTAAACAACCTTGAGAAATAGAACCATGTTCCTTCCCGAAAATCAGCCCTCCCCGTGGGCAGGCAGCTGCTCGCTGCCAGGCACTCTGCTGACTCAGGGGAGTGGCCTGGAAGAGCCAGGATCCCAGTGGCCCTCACTCCCCATGCTCCCCTTCCTTGAGAGGGACCCCCAGATTCTCCTGGAAGACCCCTGGCTTCCTTCTCCCATGGTGTCCCTTCTCTTCCCCCTTCTGGGCTTGGGCAGTGCTCCAGGCAGGGCTCTTGTTTTCACAAGAGGGACCCTGTGTTCTTTGTAAGATGAGGCCAGGGGTGCACAGCCCAGCTGGGAGCCTGCTGGGGACTTTACCTAGTTGGAAAGGTGAGGGGGCATTCCATTCATGCCCCTGCCCTGGAGTTGGCTCTGGACAGACACAGCTCACAGGGCAGGGTGCAGGGAGCCCCAAAGGTCTGGCTGCAGCTACCTGGGGTGCTCAGGGTCACCAGCACATCAGTGGAGGGGGTCACTTGTTCTTCCTGTATCTCTGCAATCCCCTGTTCAGGCATTGGTGGGGTTGTGGCATTCCCTGTGGAGGAGAGAGGGGAAGAGGTGGGGTTGTGGCCCCTTGGCTGGCCATGGCCCTTCCCTCTTCCCTGGTGCTCAGACTCCCAAGAACGAAGGGTGAAGCCTGGGGTGGGTCACTCCCATGCCTTCCAGTCTCCTGAAAGTTGATCTGGCCCCACTTAGAGAATCTGAGAGCTCTAACAGGCGTTGGAGCACATCCAGTCTAATCCTCCATGTCAGGGCCAGGAGACTGAGGCTTGCAGAAATGGTCACTTGTCCAAGGCCAGTCAGCTTGTCGGAGGCACAGCTGACACCTGGGTTTCCTAATTCCCACTTCAACATTCTTTCACTTCTGCTTACAAAGCATTTCACAGCTTACAGAGCTCTGCCACAAATACCAACATCTTATTTGCTTTGAGAGTCTGCAAGACAGGCATCAGTGTCTTCTACCGTTTTACAAGAAGCATGAGCTCAGCCTTCCAATGTCTGAACCCAACACCAGTGACAGGCAAGTAGTGGTTTCAGGACAAGACCTCTTGGGGGAAAGAGTCTAGCGACCCAGCCAAACACCTGTTTCAGCTAGTGCTGTCTCTTTGTTCTGATTTATGTGCTAAGTGGTGCCATGAAATTTGCAAAGAGTTCTGTGGCTAGAAAACTATCTGTGAAGCGTCATGGGGTCTCTCGCTGACTTCACAGCACCTTAGGTGTATAGAGAGCTCCCAGAAACAGCACTCACAGGCCACGTCCTTCTCACCCTCCTCTGATGTGTGTGTGAGCGTGAACCAGCTCACACATAGTAACTCCACTCCTGATTAAGGGCTCTTTCCCTCCCTTCTCTTTTGCCTAGGAGCCGCCAGGAAGAGGGACTCACCTGTGACCCAGGCAGGTGCATGAGTGACACTGGTCGTGACCTGCACAGAAACAGGAGAAGGTCACTTTTGGCTCCTCTGCCGTACCTGTGATGTGCCACCTTCCACCACACTGACCCCCACCTCCGGGCTTCCTACCAGGAGCTCATTCATGTTTTCATTCATTCCAGGTATTGATGAGTTCTTACTCTATGCTGGGCATTCTGCCAGGCACTTTACACACACTCACTTCATTAACCTTCTCAACTATCTTATGATGGGAGGTTGAAATGATTAAATGAGCTGATATACATACTATGCCAGCTCAGTGTTGGGTCCATGGTAGAAAATCAGCAATTTGGTGTCAGCTATAACCCTAGCATCTCAACACAGTAACAGAAGCTCTGGAGGTTCACTAGAGTGCCTGGAGCCACAGGGCCAGAGTGGGGAAGCTGGGACCACAGGTTATACCTGGTGTCCCTCAACATAGCCAGTGGACAGAATTTGCTGAGAGGTGGGGATGTAACAGCAGAAGAGTGGGCAGAGGGTGAAAAAGGCCCTGGAGGCTGGCTGCGTCTGTGGGGACCAGAGTTAGAGCTTTGGCCTGGGGGGACATCATATGGTGGCCCAGGGACAGAACAAGGCACCCGGAAGAAACTGTATTTGGGAACAGTCAGGTATGCAGGCTGGAGGGGCAGGGGACAGAGTAGGGACTGAGGCTGATGAGGGAAGAAGCAGATCCCCTCTTCTGGAATGTTTTCCTGGGACGACACCCAGGTTTTCCCAGGGGAATCTTGGGCACAGGGAAGGGAGTTGGATGCACCTTTCTCCGTGAGGTGGTTTGAGGCTGTTCACAGCTGTGCCCACACTTCCCTGTACACCACTCCCAGAGGGACCTGGAGGTTCAACTAAACCAGCGCAGAAAGTGCCAGACCCAGAATGAACTGGAAGCAGCTCCACACCTCGTCTGCAGTGCTTAAAGCTTGAGTGACAGCCAGGCCTAACAGGACATGTTCCTACTTCCTTTCTGAAGGGGCCCCAGCCCATCCCAAATGGGAAAATGCTTGCACAATGGCTGCTCCATAAACAAGAGCTGTTGTTATCACTTCCTTTAGGGTAAAACTGGGTCTTTGGATCAATCCTCCCACTTGGTCATCTCTTCAAGTAAAATCTAACAGATACTCCATCTTTCTCCCTCTCCCTCCCTCATGAGACACTGCCCTGGGGCCTGAGCTGCTACCAGGTCCTGCTCTCTGCCATGCTTGCCCGGCCCCCTAGTGGGAGGACGCACTCACCTGGCCAGCCTGAGAGTCACCTGGAAGGGAAAGGTAACAGCGTGAGCTCAGGGAGGAGGGTCTGGCTGCCTTCTCCCCTCACCGCCACCTGGGCGGCTTCACAGTCTGCGCCCCAGACCACATCCCCAGCAGGGCCAGCAGCACAGAAAGCGTGGACTCTTCTTACCTGCCTCTGCCCCATCACCCCTGTAGGGACTGGCCACCACAAAATTCCAGAACCCCAGGTCTGGAGGGCCTGAAGATAGCTTAGTGAAGCCTCTCACTTGGTAAGCGGAAGGCCCTGCTTTCCTGTAAGGCCTCGGGTGACAGGAGTCCCACCTGCTCCCGGACCTGTCCACCCCATCCATTCTGGAGTCACCTCCTTGCACTGCTACCTCCTCCCTCCCATGCCTCCCAGCCAGGCTGGGTCATGCAGCCCCCTGCCCTGGGCTTTGGGCCAGGGGAACAGTTTGAGGAAGGAGTGGAATTGCTCCTGGCTTGGCCGGTGTCCTGTGTCCACAACAACTGGGGCTCTGTCCTCACTCCCCTGTCTATTCCAGATTCCTGGAGCAGTTTGACCAATCACATAGTTTGCTGGCGCTATGACGTTCCAGGCCTCCTGCATTCAGTGTTACCAGTGACCTGGGCATGACTTCTCCATGGTTTTCAGGGCACTTGCAAGGAGAGCCTCATACCCAGCCTCCCTCCAGCCCCGTGCCTCTGGGGTCCAAGGCCGTTGAGCTGGAGTTAGCACTCTGACTCCAAGGCCGGGCCAGGGGTCTGACATGCAGGTCCCCAGGACCCACCTGCCAGCTATTCAGGCCTGCAGCAAGCACCGGCCCCAGAAGCTGCATGGCCAGAGGGCAGGAGATGGAGAGGCCTGATCGCTGGGGTGGGGGCTGCGGCTGATCTTTCCCACCTCCACAAGCAACTCCCTGGGGCGTGGGCACCTCTTGACCCCATATGGAAGAGGAAGTGGGTGGGGCCAGGCCATGAGAGAAGGCTGCCAGGGTTGGGTGCTGCTGCTCCAAGCTCCCTTTCCTAATGCCACAGAGATGGGATGCCCAGGGACCCAGGATTAACACCCACACTTCTCTGAGGTGCTGGAAACTTAGGGGAAAGGAAAATCCCTCAGGCATCTCCCCCAGCTCAGATACCCTTGTCAGGGATGGTCCCGGCCTCAAGCCAGGTGTCCGTGACGACCCGGAGGGGCTGCCTCTCTGCTGGCCCGGGCAGTGCCCCGCTGCTCCTCTGCCCTTGCTCCCTTGGGGGCCTTGCCAGTTCCTCCTCCTCGGCTTTCCTCATGGACAGGCGGATGTCGGAGCTCGCGTAGGTGTAGCCGTGGCCGGCAGGGCAGATCTCTCTGAAGGCCTCTGCAAAGCCAACAGCCAGAGGACAAACTGAGAGGTGCTGTTCCTGCAGGAAACCAGGGCCTTCCTTTCCCTCCCTTTGGGAGACACGGCAATTGTGGCAGCAAGGAGGGAGGGAGCCCCAGGTTGGGATAAGCACGTGAGCAGGCAGGGAAGGCTACTTCAGTCTTCCAGATTGAGGGAAGTCTACCCAGGCCTGGCAACATGGTCACTGGCCTTGAGCCCCTGGGCAGTGAAAGCTGGGATGGGAACAGGAGGTTACCTGTGCCAGGCAGAGGGCATTTCTCACACTCGCTGCCCCATGCTTTGCCCACGCGGCTGCAGCAGCATATCTGCTTGGTGATCCGCTGGGCCAAAGGCAGGGTGCAGGTGCCGGGCCCCAGCGACCGGTAGCACAGTCCCTGCAGCATGGAGATTGCCTTGTCCGCTGCAACAGACACAGCACGTGGAGGTGGGCAGGTGGCCAGTGGGAGGGGAATGCGCAGCTGGGAGGGCAGTGGATGGAGGTGTGGCTGGCCACATGCACTCAGACTGGCCTGGCCCATATCTCAGTTGGGAAGTTTGGAGCCCTGCAAATGCTCACAAGAACTTTAGGAGGAAGAGGCGTAGTGGAATGTTTCAGCACCTGCCCATGTTGTGTGCTTGATGAGACTCGTGACTCCCCACCTGCATGTGGAGAACCTGAGAGCAGGGAATGAGGATGCAGCTGCTTGTCTCCAGTGCCGAGTTTAGAAGTGTTTACTGAAGGCCCCACGTGTCCCTAGGGTTGAGCGGGCAGCAGTATGTCCTGAGGACCACAGCCTCCCTGGGAAGATGAGGCAAGGTAAGGAGCTAAGGCCGGATGGGGAGCTCGGAGGACAGGGACCCTATCTTGGGTCATCTCTGTCACCCAGGCACCTCCCATAGTGCCTGGTGCATGCAAATGCTTAGTAATGCTTGTTGAAGCTATGCGTGGATGGCTAGGTCAATGAACCAATCAAACACAGAATCAACCAGCCAATCAAAATACTGAGGGTCACTGTGAGTTTGAGCTATGCTGGGCTTAGGTCATAGCAATGCCACCACCCTTATCTCCTTTCTTGTACTTTGAAAATAAATATTAAAGAATAGTTTCTGTATGTTATCTCAATGGAAGACGAGGAGGCCATGCCAGGTTGGAAGAGTCTGGAATCCGTAGAGGGCTGACTGGATTCTAAGAGGAGGAGAGTGGGCTGAAGAGGACATCAATCAAAGTTTAGGAATGAATGATTCTGGGGAAGTGCTGGTCAGGCCCAGGACGCAGCAGACCAAGTTCAAATCCCTGCTCCACCATGAACTACAGACCTCCCTGGGCCTTAGCTTCTTCACGTGTAAAATGAAGATGAGAATGATGATTCCATCGCAGGGGACACCTGTATTTCTGCCTGCCCAGAGTCTATGCACCATATTCTCGTATCATCACTCTGGTTCTCCTACAGGAACCACCCTTTCCCACCCTTGGTCCATATGACTGGAGTGGAGGCTGACGCCTTTCTGGCTGAAGGCTTGTGGTCCATACCCCTGGTTACAGTGATTGGGTCAGGGATGGGCACTTAACCAAGGAGGCCCAATGATAATCAGCTTTGAGACTATTATTCCTGGGTTATTGGGGAAAAGGGGCTCATTTTTTATTGAGTTTGCAAGGCTGAGAGGGTGTAGGCCTAGAGCATCTGGTGACCACCTTTGAAGGAACCATGAAACTCACACAGAGGAAAGAGCAGGACATGCCCTGCAGACACTGTGGCTGCCTAGGTCAGCCAGCCTGAGGCCATACCACGTCTGCACTTCCTAGTTGTGTGAACCAATGCTTTTGGTTTTTCTTGAGAAGAGTCTTGTCTATTGCCCAGGCTGCAGTATAGTGGCACGATCTCGGCTCACTGCAACCTTTGCCTCTGGGGCTCAAGCCATCCTTCCACTTCAGCCTCTCAAGTAGCTGGGACTACAGGTGTGCACCACCACGCCTGGCTAATTTTTAATTTTTTGTAAAGACAGGGTCTCACCATGTTGCCTAGGCTGGTTTTAAACTCCTGAACTCAAGTGGTCCACCTGCCTCAGCCTCCCAAAGTGCTTGGATTACAGGTGAGAGGCACGGGGCCCAGCCCCAGCGAATTCTTTTTTGCTTAAGGCAGTTTGAGTTTGGTTTCTGTCACTTGCAATCCAAAGACTCCCGATTAATAAACTTTCTTCGTGGTATTGTCGTGGAGATTAAATAGAGTGAGGTGTGTGAGAGTGGCTTGTTAAAGGTCATGTGCCCGCCACAGGTAAATCATCAGCCGTCTGTGAGCCCTGGATCTCCAGGTGCAAACTCTGCTTCTAGCAGCCACTTCCATTGGGACACTGTAAGGAAGGGCTCTGTCCCTTTGAACCCCAGGGTGGAGATGACCCAGGTGGGAATATCAGGAGGCTGGGGCAGCCCTGTAGACTGCCCCACTGGACCTGGTCAGGCGGCAGGGAGGGAAGGAGGCAGAACTCAGAAACAAAGGGAAGAGAAACTTCGTGCCACCCCTCCCACTTACAGGGAGGTGAATCACTGTAGGAGGCTGGAGGGAGTAACACCAGGGACAGAGAGGGAAAAAAGGACACTCGAGAGCCATCTCTGCTTCCCTGTATTAAGGGTCTCTTTCTGGGACTAATAAATAAGTCACCTTGGATGTCAAACACACCTCTCTGGTAAAGGGATCTTAAGTGATGTGGAGTAGAAGGAAGGGTGTAAGCCTCTCAAGGCCTTGATCACCTGCCACTGCCACCATGAAGGTTTCTTGAGAGCGGTCTGACATGTTCTCCCCACTCTGGGCCCCTCACTCTCTGGGCACCCCCCTCCTATAGCTCTTGCTGTCTTCTCTCCCTAGAGCCACTGGGTTCAGCCTCTGGGTGGCACTGGAGTCTTGTCCAATCCCATGGCCCTCCCAAACCCAGTACCAGAAAGTTTGCAGACTGAGGGCTTGGCCGGTTGCAGGGAGCTCTGCTGAGCTGGGCGTGGCCCATCCAACCTCGGCTGCTGCCTCCCAGAGGCCAGTTGGGACTGGTTTTATTCAGCTCTGGTCAGGCCTCCCGGCCCAGGGAAAGCCCTATCTGGGCTGTGGTGTCAGTTCTGCCATTGGGGGCTGCTGCCAGCCTGGGCCTCTCACCCTGGAAACCACAGAGGTCTCTGGAAACAGGGCTGCCTGGCATACATGCATGTACATACCTGGACACAATGCTAATGCCCACTATGTGTTCACAGATAAGGAGAAACTTCAGAACCACAAGGGGCCACAGGATTGTGGAAAGGCCCTCGGGTCGGGCAGCAGCTCCATGAATGCTATGGACAGCCCTTCTGGAAAGGTCACTCAGCAGCCAAGGCTCAGCCAGACATCAGAGCAGAGGCCACCCCCACCACCTCCCGCCACCAAAGAAAACGAGGCTACACATGGAACAGAAATGATTAGAAAGGAAAAAAAATAAGAAATAGAAAAGACGAATTCCAAACTGCAAAGGCCCGGAAAAAATGCCTAGTGTAAAAAGTGAAGTAGTAACCATCTCTGTTCCAGCAGGATGGGCTGATCAGGTTTTTCACATTGGGCCCAACTCCAGGTTGAATAGCCGACACAGGCCCTGAGCATGGCGTGATCAGGTCTGGGGAAAATTGCTGCCCTGGGCCTGGCCTGTGGACCTGAAGTGTCCCATCTTGTCTCCCACTGTCCACCCCCACCCCATCCCTGCCAGCACTCACACACACAGCGGCTCCGCGATGGATCCAGCATGAGGCCAGGTCTGCATGTGCACAGGTAGCTGCCCCTGGTATTCACACACTCCGCGTCCTTGCACAGGCCCAGGGTCAAGCACTCGTTGATATCTGCAGGGTTGGAGGAGATGACCAAGTGCCCGCCCCACGGAGGCCTGATGGAGCAGAGGGGCTGGGCAGAGATCTTCAAATACTCTCTCCAGATAAAACAACAACAAAAGAGCTGCTATGTATTCAGTGGGATTCCTCTCCCTGTGCCTCAGTTTCCTCATTTGTAAAATGAGGATAATGATAGTAACAACCAGATGGTGTTGTTAAATGGATAAGATCAAATTGCAAACCACTTTGTCCAATAAGTGGCATGTAACAATGATCATAATATTAAGAGCTAATGTTTATTTATTTATTTATCTATTTTTTGAGACAGAGTCTCGTTTTGCCACCCAGGCTGGAGTGCAGGGGTGTGATCTCAGCTCACTGCAGTCTCCGCCTCCCAGGTTCAAGCAATTCTCATGCCTCAGCCTCCCGAGTAGCTGGAACGACAGGTGCATACCACCACATCCAGCTAATTTTTGTACTGTATTTTTTGTAGAGATGTGTTTTCACCATGTTGCCCATGGCTGGTCTCAAACTCTGGGCCTCAAGCAATCTGCCTGCCTTGGCCTCCCGAAGTGCTGAGATTACAAGCATGAGCTGCCTTGCCAGGCCTCAAGCGCTAGTGTTTATTGAGCACCTATTACATGCTACGTACTCTGCTGGGTATTAACATATAATACCCCATTTAATTCTCACAAACAATTTTATCAAATAGGCCCACATGTCCTCATTTTACAGGAGAAGAAACTGAGGTCCCAGGAATAGCCAGGTCACCCACTGGTTTGGGGAAATTGGCACTGGGCACAGAGTCATTCAGCTGGAGAGTGGCATGTTGAGATGCAGACAGGAAACAGATCAGGGGGACTGTGTGGGTTGGAAGGTGGAGAAGGGGCAGCCAAGTCCCTCCTATTCAGCCTTCCTCCAGAGGTCCCTGAAGCACCTCTGCAGGCCCCAAGACCCTGGGAGCATGTCTGCAGTGAGCTGGAGGAGGGAGGACCCTGGTAAGGAAAAGGAGGCAGAGGCTGGAGGAAGGCACTGAAGGGGAAGGGGACAGCAGGGGTCACAGTTAAGAGTGTGCAAAGGTTGAGGGTCAGAAGGGCACATCTTCGGGTCCTCCTGAACGCCCTTCCTTGTGCAGGCTGCACGCATCCCCCCGGAAACCCGTGGAGGCTCATGCTGTTCTTCAAATAAGGGAGGTGCACTGGTTTCTTCTGTGACCTCAAAGGGGGAAACCCCCTTTTCCTGCTGCAAACTTCTCCCTGCCAAGGGGAAGTCTCAGCCCTCACAATCTAAGATATGAGGAGTCGGGGGCCATCTTGATGATGGCACTTCTATTGATGGTGGTGATGGCAGCAGAGATGATAAGCATTAATTGCTTGTGAGGGGCACCTGCCTCCAGGCCAGGCGGTAACACAGGCAGCCCTGTGTCTGCAGAGCCAGGTCACCCACCGGTTTGGGGAAATTGGCACTGGGCACAGGAACGAGGGACTGAAAGGTGACCCAGCCTGAGCACCAAGGGGCACTACTCCTTGGTAGGATGCCCCATTGTGGCAGGGTGCCAATAAGAGCTGGGAAGGTGCTACTGAGAAATGGGAAGGGGCAGTGATCCATATGCATCCAGACTGTGGCCACAGTGGGATGTGGGCCTCCATACCCAAATCTGACTTGCTTCCCTCTGCTTCTGGGTTCCCTGTCACTTCTTAGAGGGAGGCTCTAAACCCTAACATGGTATCCAAGGCCCTCTACCTTTCCCCAAAGCCTGTGGGTAAACAGGTGGCTCTGATGAGACACTGGCAGACATGTGGCATCTCCCGTGTGTACACAGGCCACGTACACAGTACTTTCTGGGACACTCCAGACAGCACAAACTGTTCTTTTGCTTATGGGGTTCACATTGCCTGGAGAGCTTGCATCCTCTTAGTTGGCCAACGTGTACTCATTTTTAAAGTCTTGGCCTTAGGTATCACCTTTTCCAGGGAGCCTTCCCTGATCCTTCCAGTCTGGGAAGGCGCCCCCACCATGGGATCCTGTAGCACTCAGGGACTGCTGCTTTCTCTCAAGAATGCCCCGCTCATTAGACCTGATTGTTCAGGGGGTCTGTCTGCACTTGGGGCAGGACTGTCTTCTCCATCACTGTGTACTCCTAGCACAGTGTATGTAGCCCATAGTAACCTCCCCTCCAATACTCTGTGGAAGTAGGAGAGAAGGATGGAGAGAGAGGAGAGATGACGCATGCGGGTGCAGAGATGAGCAGGTCCCTTCGCAGACACAGAGACCACAGCCACATACATGGGAAGGGGAGGTTTCAGGGGCAGGGCCTCCTGAGGGAAGGTCCTTTGGTGTCCTGAATCTTGGGGCTCAGTAGAGGGAGGGCAGAGAGCCCATTTGAGATCCTGAGTATAACCTTAAAGCTCCAGATTGGGAAACATACCAGGAGGAAAAGCAACTGGTGACTGTTTAGACATGAACAGCCCCGATGTACCCTCCAAAGGCAAAAATACGTATTTCTCCCTACATCCACTGTCTGCTTGGCCCTCAAACCACTGGCTCCTGAGGGAGTCTGACTCTGGACTAGGCTGGGCCAGAGACCTGCCCTTTTGCTTGGCCCCAGCACCTTTGCTTATCCACGGGCTAGGAATCACTTCTGCAGCCTGGCACCCCCAAGGAAGACAGCCCAGCCATGCAGAGCTTCCCCAGACTCCTCTCTCTGAAGCAACCTCCAGGAGGAGGGCACCTTGGAGGCCATCTGGGTCAATCCCCTGTCTCTGACCCAGCTCCACCCAAAGCAAACCATACAGACAACTGTTTGTCCAGTTGTCAAAGCTCCCCACAGGGAAGCCACCTTGTTCCCCACTGGCCTCTGCCAGCCCCAGGAGCCTGTCCCAGGCAGGAAGCCCCCGTGCTCCCCGTCCCCTTTCCTGGCTATGGGTTGAAGCAAGCGGGAGGGAAGCCTGA
This sequence comes from Homo sapiens, assembly GCF_000001405.40. Lineage (NCBI taxonomy): Eukaryota > Metazoa > Chordata > Mammalia > Primates > Hominidae > Homo > Homo sapiens. The sequence continues at coordinate 74,535,489 of NC_000014.9, forward strand.
GTAGCTAAAGGTTTTCAGTTGGGAAAAGCCCACAGAGGCCCCAACAACTCAGGCTGACTTGATTTCCCACCCTAGAGCTGAAATTCTTCCCACTCCAGGGAGACCAGCTCAGGAGAAAAGTGGAAGTGCACAGACTGGGGTGGCCCCTTCAGACACAGCCCCACATAGCCTAGAGCCCCTAGCCTGTGTTCCAGGTGGGTGTGGGTGGAGATGGGGACGAGGGGAGGTGTCGGCCCCCTTGGCTTCCTCTGTCACTCTCAAGCAAGTCCCTGGATTTCCTTAGTCCCCTGGAATCAGCAGCCCCCCACCACTCCCCAAAGCTGGGGCTTAGAGGGACTCAGTGGAGACCACTCGGCCAGTGACAGACACCCCTCCTGTCTGGTGCTGGGAGTGTGCCCCGGCATCCTTGAGCCCAGCCCTGGCCCTGGGGGTCCTACCTTGGCAGTGAGTGAGGTTCAGTCTCTTGTACCCCTGAGGACACTCCAGCTGGCCATTCTCAATCACCGGGGAGGCTGAAGAGTGGAGATACGGACAGGTCTCACTGGACGGCCCCTGGGCTCCTCTGTCACCCATGCTGGGAAGCGGGTGCAGTCTGGATGTCCAGCCCACCCGGCAGCAGTGAGCCCCAGCCCCCGAAGCCATCGCCCTGGGCAGCTGTGCTTCCTGGTTCTCACCAGACTCCTCTCAGCCCACCTCGCTTTTATTAAAAGCAGTACTAAGTGAAATAAGACAGGCACAGAAAGACAAATATCACATGATCTCACTTACATATGGGACCTAAGAAAAGCAAACCCATAGAAGCAGAGTAGAATGGTAGTTACCAGGGCCTGGGGGAGAGGGGAGATATTGATCAAAGGGTACAACATTTCAGTTAGATACAGGAGGAATAAGTTCAAAGGATCTGTTGTACGACATAGTGACTATGGTTAATAACAGTGTCTTGTATTCTTGAAAATTGCTAAGAGAGTAGATTTTAAGTGTTCTCACCACAAAAAATAAATATATGAGGTAATACACATGGGTGCAATTTAGCCACTTTACAATGTATACTTATTTCAGAACAACAGTTGTGTACCAGCCAGGCGCAGTGGCTCATGCCTTAATCCCAGTGCTTTGGGAGGCCAAGGCAGGTGGATCACCTCAGGTCAGGAGTTCGAGACCAGTCTGGCTAACATGGTGAAACCCCATCTCTACTAAAAATATGAAAATTAGCTGGGCATGGCAGCACATGCCTGTAATCCCAGCTACTCAGGAGGCTGAGGCAGGAGACTCGCTTGAACCCAGGAGGGGGAGGTCGCAGTGAGCTGAGGTTGCGCCACTGCACTCCAGCCTGAGTGACAGAGCAAGACTCCATCTCAAAACAAACAAACAAATAGTTGTGCACCACAAATATATACAATTTTTATTTGTCAATTAAAATTTTGTTAATACTAAGAAAAATGTATTATATACTTCACATACATAGTTATTACATATAGTATCTACTACACTACATGCATGTTATATATATAACATGGATTTTATTGTTATTACTTTTTGCTTTTTATTTTGAAATACTAAAAATACACAGATGTCTGATTGCAGATTGACCAACAAGGAAATTATTCTCAGTATTTTTATGCTGATACACATCCTGCCTTGAAATCACAACATTCCCCCTTACTTTACAAAGAAAAAAAAAAAAACCAAAGAGTTGACATTAAATAAAAACAGGAAAAAAATCTCCATTACTTTGGAGGAACAGACTAGTGTGCCAACCCTCTTGAAAAGCTCTAGCAGGAGGCATACTTCTGATCGCCACCTGTCTTCACAGGAAAAGGCAGGGGAATACTATCTTTTGTGGAACAAAAAGAGAACTCAGCTATAAGTCTGACAATTCTTTTGCCTATAGATAGCCAGCAATTCTAAGCAGGCACGAGCAATTGCCACAGACCTTATTCCATACAAAGTTCCATAAATATACCATGATATTTCAAAGGTCTTGCTCTATAAAGGTAGCTGCATGATGGCTTCCTGTAGCAATTTGCCGTCTTCTAGCTTTGACTCCTTTGTGGCAATAGCTTGTCTCTGAATGCTGCACCCTCCATCTCTGTTACCTTATCCCAATTCCTTTTTCTCCCAGTCATAACATCAGTAGCTACACTTTCAGTGTTGTTTGCTAAAGCTTATTGTCATCCAGGAAGTCATTTACTGTTGAGAATATATGTCCACTGGTTCATCCTTTAGTGGTTTACAAAAAGAGAGTTCTTCATATTTTCTTCTTCTTCTTCTTCTTCTTTTTTTTGAGATGGAGTCTTGCTCTGTCGCACAGGCTGGAATGCAGTGGCGTGACCTCGGCTCACTGCAACCTCCACTTCCTGGGTTCAAGTAATTCTCCTGCCTCAGCCTCCCGAGTAGCTGGGATTACAGGCATGTGCCACCAGGGCTGGCTAACTTTTGTATCTTTAGTAGAGACAGGGTTTCACCATGTTGGCCAGGCTGGTTTTGAACTCCTGACCTCAGGTGATCCGCCTGCTTTGGCCTCCCAAAGTGCTGGAATTATAGGCATGAGCCACCGCACCCAGCCTTTCATATATTTTTATTGTTGAAATGAATTCTTGCAAATACCAAGAGGCATGTTAGAGATATTTATCCTTTATCCAATTGTACAGCAAAGTTTGAGTGTCTTGGTGGTTTAAAATGTTTTTCTAATCAAGATAGCTATTATTTCACCATTAGCTGCTCTCTCTGGGCACTTACACACTTAGCGCAAGGTTTGTTATTAGTAATGGCCTACATCAATCTGTATTTCATATAGTCTTCTCGATCATTTGGATCCTGGGGTACTTGGGGGTCACATCTGATAGGTCGTCACGATTTTTACTTTGTAATAAGGCTGAGTGACATGGTAAGACCCCCTGAGAAGGGTCGGCATTGCGTTTTTTAATGATTGCTTGTGATTATGGGACTAGTGTCATTTTGCATCCACAGTTTCTTTGCAGGAGCTTTTAAGAGCCACCTCTCCATTTTGTGTGGGTTAGTTTAGTTAACACCAGAATACATAACTAAAAAATCCAGTAAACACAGCACTGTGAACTGCACTGTGTTGCAATATGCCAAAGACAAATAGAAGGAGGCACCACATTTTCTTGGAAGCCCCACTCTTCCCTGAGGACACACTGTGTGCCAAGCATGACATGTGACAGCCTGACATAGGGACAGACCAAGTGAGGACATAAATTAGTAACGCTTAACTTTTTTAAGATTAAAAAATGTAAACTGAAGTTCAAAAATGTTTTCCTGCCAGGACTGGCCCGCTCCGGATTTGCACGTTCCATGTAGGGACCAGGGTCCAGCCTAGAAGGCCACTCTTGTGGAGACACACGGGGATTCTGAAAACGCTGAGAAGGAGATGGAAAGATGAGAGTGAGGCTGGGAGATGTGCACGTCCCTGGCGTGGGGCCTGGTGGTATAAACTGAGGACAGAGAGGAGGGAAGAAAGAGAAGTCCTTTGGAGAAACTCAGAAGGCAGGCTGATTAGATGCAGCCTGTGAACATTATGAGGAGCAGAAGGTGGGAAAGAATGATGCAAGGCTGCTGCCAGAGGGCTGAGGAAAGAGACCAAGTGCACATTTGTCCAGTGCTTCAGAATTGCAAGGCCATGGGTACACATGGTCATGTCTGTTTCTCACAACAATTATGCCCTAAGGCAGGGACCGTCATCCCCATTTTACAGATTAGGAAAGCAAGGCTCAGTGAGGGGTAAGTAACTGACCCAGGTAACAAAGTTGCTGGAGCAGAGGCAGGGTTGAAATCGGGCCTCTAGCTGTGAAGGCCACATCCTTTCTCCTACCTTCCACTGTGCTTCTCTAAGAGAGAGAGAGAGATCAGGAAGAGCTGGGTGAGCCAGCAGGCCGGAAAGGTATCAACTCTCTAGATGTCAAGAGGGAGAAATGATGTTGGGCATGGTAGCTCACACCTGTAATCCCAACACTTTGGGAGGCCGAGGCAGGAGTGTCCCTTGAGTCCAGGAGTTTGAGACCAGCCCAGGCAACATGGCAAAACCCCGTCTCTACAAAAAAAATAAGATTAACTGGGCATGGTGGTTCATGCCTGTGGTCCCAGCTACTCTGGGGGCTGAGGTAGGAGGATCACTTGAGCCTGGGAGGTCAGGGCTGCAGTGAGCTGTGACTGTGCTATTACACTCCAGCCTGGGCAACAGAGGGAGACGGAGACGGAGACTGAGAGGGAGAGGGAGAGGGAGGAAGCAGAGGCCCCTGCTTCTTTAGTGATCAGAAGGGGAGCAGCAGAGAGCTTGGATGAGAGCAGGAAGCAAGAGTGGAACCAGCTGCTGGCACCTGCAGAAAACTGTGAGAACCCGAGGAATGAGTGAATCTCAGAGGAGCTGGGTCCACCCATTAGTCTGGATACATGTATGTGCTTTTTATATAAAATGGTCTCCTCCCTAATAAGGGGAACCTGCCCCTCTGCTGGCCTGAAGGGAGTGTGTTGCGTGGGCAATTCTTCATGAAGGCAGGCTTCTAGAGGGAAATAAATGCCAAGCCACTGTCTCTGGGGAAACTCCCATTTTTACCAACAACCTCCACCCCAAAACCAGGGCCCTCAGCACCCCTCCTCACACCTCTCAGAGACAGTCTATAAGGGGCTAGTTCCTAGCTTCTGTAAGACCAAGTACAGCATTGAATCCAAAAAATCAGGTTAAGGCCGGGCATGGTGGCTCATGCCTGTAATCCCAGCACTTTTGGAGGCTGAGGCGAGTGAATCACCTGAGCTCTGGAACTCGAGACCAGCCTGGGCAACATGGCAAAACCCTGTCTCTACCAAAAATACAAAAAGTCAGCGGGCGTGGTGGCATGAGCCTGTGGTCCTCGCTACTCAGGAGGCTGAGGTGGGAGAATTCTTTGAGCCTAGGAGGTAGAGGTGGCAGTGAGTCGAGATCATGCCTCTGTACTCCATGCTGGGCAACAGAGTGAGACCATGTCTTAAAAATAAATAAATAAGGCGCAGTGGCTCACGCCTGTAATCCTAGCACTTTGGGAGGCCGAGGCGGGCGGATCATGAGGTCAGGAGATCGAGACCATCCTGGCTAACATGATGAAACCCCATCTCTACTAAAAATACAAAAAATTAGCGGGATGTGGTGGCGGGTGCCTGTAGTTCCAGCTACTTGGGAGGCTGAGGCAGGAGAATGGCGTGAACCCAGGAGGCGGAGCTTGCAGTGAGCCGAGATTGAGCCACTGCACTCCAGCCTGGGCAACAGAGCGAGACTCCATCTTAAAAAATATATATATATATTATATATATATTTATATATATATATAATATATATATATTTTTATATAATATATATTTATATATATTATATATATTATATATATTTATATATATAATATATATATTATATATTAAAAATATATATATTTAAAATATATATAGGTTATATATATATATATATATTTTTTATATATGTAGGTTAAATTCAGGTTAAATCTCCTTGGGAGAAAGTGGAAGTTTAGATGGCCATATGGCTCAGGGTGAAAATTCAGCAGCCAGTGAGCTTTGTGACAGGTGAAGGCAGGTGACACCTGTCACCGTCCCTGCCACCCACACCAGGTGTCCCTCTTGCATGCTCCCAATACATACAGCCCTGCCCAAGTCACAGCACTAGCTTTTGAGCTGAAAAACTCAGTTCATGGTGTGTCGTGGCTGCCTGTTTACTTTTCCATCTCTCCACAAAGCATAAGCTACGTGAGGACAAGGACCTTGTCTTATTCTTCTTCATCACTGTTATGTCTCTGGTGCCAAGCATGACACCTAGAGCTGTGTGGGCACTCAGTCAAAATAGGAACAAATAAGAAGACCAAACACTCAAATGGCACTTACTATGGGCCAGGCCCTATTATAAAGGCTTTACACGAATTAACTTAGTTAATGCTCATAAGAGCCCTTGGAGAGTCTTACTAATATTATTCCCATTTTATGGATGAGCAAATTGAGGTTCATCCATAAAATGGATGAGGTTATGAAACAAACCCAAGGTCACCCCGCTGGTGGACAGAGCTGGGATTATGAACTCAGGCAGTCTAGCTCCAGAGGAGAAATTCTGAACCATTCTCCCCACTGCCTCCAAATAAATAAATTTGTGAAAAGCCTTAGGGGTGTCTAGGCAGAAAACCCTAGGGACCAATGGAGGTACCTGCCCAGTAGAAAACCTAGCACCCTTCCTAGGAAACCTCTACCCTGTTTTTAAATGAGGGGTCAGGAGAGGGAATAAGAAAAAAAAAAAAGTAGGGATACTCAGAAGGAGGTCAGAAGAACTGATCAGATGCCTGGTAAGTGCTCCACGATGTGCATAACCAAAGTGCCGGGCAGAACTGACAAAGGAAATGGTGTAGAACTCATCCTACCCCTTGTGGCTCCTCAGCCAGATCAAGGTTATCACAAGGGGTAAGGGGTCAGAGAGTAGAAAGAAGAGAATCTGTGAGACCTGGGGAGAGAGAGTGGCTAAGCTGTGACTCCCACGGATGCTTCAAGGAGGCCTTGCAGGGCTGCAGTGTCCTTGCCTTTCAGACTCTTAGACTTGGGAAAGCCAAAGCAGCTGCCCAGGATCAGTGGGGACCGACCTGAACTCCAAGGAGTTCACATCACAAATGCCCATGAAGCATGCAGGACAGATGTGGGGAACCTTCCTGGTAAGGACATCGGGACATATGGTCTTCTGATTCCCTGGCCTTGGCCCTGTCCACCCTCTGCCGTGCCTCGGTTGCTCACAAACTGAAGAAAGAAGCAGATGGGCCCCTGGCTGCAGCCTGCCCCTGCCCTGCTAACTCTCCCCCTCGGCTGCTGGGACTCCCAAGGAGGCCTCAGTAAAGGCAAACTAATTTCTCGAGACAGTTTTGGCGCTGACTCCATGAGTAGAGCTGTGGAGGAGAAAGTGAAGAGTGTCTGGCCACAGGGCTGTTTACAAGCTGTGCCAATCTCAGCCTGTGATGACAGGTGCCTGCAGCAGGGAGATGTGAAAGGTCCCTACCACACAGCCCCTCTGCCCAGGGACAGACACATACATGCCTGGCGAGGCCAAGCTCAGTGACACAGGGACGCGTGAGCAGGCTGGTGCCTTGCCCCTTTGATTTGCAAACCTCAGAAGGGCAAGCTGGAGAGAAAATTCTACTCCCCCAGTAGGAGTGCAGGTGCTGGGGCAGCCAGACCCACATCTAATCCCAGGCTCCACTCTGACTACCTGTGTGACCTGGGGCACATTTCTTAACCTCTCAGCCTGAATTTTTTTTTTTTTTTTGAGATGGAGTCTAGCTCTGTCACCAGGCTGGAGTGCAGTGGCGCGATCTCAGCTCACTGCAATCTCTGCCTCCTGGGTTCAAGCAATTCTCCTGCCTCAGCCTCCTGAGTAAACAGGATTACAGCCACGCGCTGCCACACCCAGCTAATTTTTGTATTTTTAGTAGAGAGACGGGGTTTCACCATGTTGGCCAGGATGTTCTCAAACTCCTGACCTCGTGATCTGCCCATCTTGGTCTCCCAAAGTGTTGGGATTACAGGCGTGAGCCACCGCTCCTGGCTGAATTTTTTCATCTGTAGAAGTGGGGACTGGGCTGGGCACGGTGGTTCACATCTGTAATCCCAGCACTTTGGGAGGCCAAGGCAGGCAGATCACGAGGTCGGGAGATTGAGACCATCCCAGCTAACACGGTGAAACTCCGTCTCTCCTAAAAATACAAAAAATTAGCTGGGTGTGATGGCGGGCACCTGTAGTCCCAGCTACTTGGGAGGCTGAGGCAGGAGAATGGCATGAACCCAGGAGGCAGAGCTTGCAGTGAGCCGAGATTGCGCCACTGCACTCCAGCCTGGGTGACAGAGCGAGACTCCGTCTCAAAAAAAAAAAAAAAAAAAACAGTGAGGACGAAGACTCAGCTTGTGGAGTCATTGTGAGGATTAGCTTTGCTGAAACAATAAATGTCAGACTGAACCTCGCAGATGCATGGCACAAACCCTATAGAGCCTGCCTGCCTGCCTGCCTGCCTTCCCTCCCTTTTTCCTCCCTCCCTCCCTTCCTTCCTCCCTTCCTTCCCCACAGTCTCAAGGCTGGCATGCTGGCCCACTGTCCCTCACTAGCTGGGTGAATTTGGGCAGGTTACACAACCTCTTTGAGGCTGGGTCTTCTTATCAGTAAACTGGAGATGATAAGTCCCTCTTCATGGGGTTATTATGAACATGAAATAAGCATGTACAACTCTGAGCACAACACTTGTCCCATTTTAGGAATTCTCATAATGTCCATTATTCAGATTTCCCTCCTTGGTGAAGGACCAGTGGGGCCCCCCAGTGATTATGGACATTCTGCCCAAAGATGGCCTCTGACTGCCTCCTCAGAGCAAGATAGAACCAAAGTCACCACAAACAGTGAGGTCGAAAAAGAGTCTGGTCAGACCCCTGGCTCAGGCAGGTGCCACCTAGCCACCCCTGCCCCAGCCCTTCCTCCGCTCTCCGGGCTAGAGGTGCCACATGTCAGTGACACCCACCCCTGCTGGGTTGGGAGGGTGCTCACTTAAGCCTGAGGCACAATTCATTCCCAGCAGGCTTCAAGTCCCTTGGAAGAAGCTCTCAGAACATCTCTGAGCCAAAGAGACACTGCCTTTTCAGCTGACAACTGGAATTCTGAAAATCCCATTTCTTTAGAGTAGGGGACTGGGCATCTCATCCAGAATCCCAGAGAACAGGAGCCCCACCCCAGCACAGCTGTTCCCCAAGCTGGGGTCCTCCAGTTCAGCAAATGCTTGTGCCGGGTGCAAGAAGCAGCAGAGAGAGGCCACTTGCAGAGTGGCTGGAAGCAGGCAACTGGAGTCAGATAGGCCGGGAGTTTCAGGCCCAATTTTCTCTTCTGTAAAATGGGGATAATAGCACCCAACATCTAGAAATATTGTTAGGATGCAAGAAAATGAAAAAGCACTTAGCACCGTGCCTGGCACTTATAAGTACTCTGAATAAATGGTTGTGAATGATGATAAGGGTGATAATAATGGTGTTGCTGCTGTGACCTGCCCTAAGGCTCTCTGCCCCTCATGCCCCCAGCACCCTCCCATACCCATCCTCCCCAGGGGCTGGCATCACAGAGCTACACCTATAACTCTCGTCATGGGCAAGGGTCAGGACCAAAGCAAAGCCTTCTTTCTGTTGGAAGGTTCAAATACATTTTCAAACATCTCTAAAAACCCCCATTTCCTCAAAAATCAATTTTCTTTGTCGACTCCTATGAAAAATCTGTTCTTGGTAGTCATTCTCCCTGTGATCTGGAGCCCACTACTTTTAGGCACAACCCATTTTATTGCTGGGCGCCTGCAGTTTTTAATAAGTTGTCCCTTGTGATCAGTTTCAAGTCGAGCTCTGGTTACCAGAAACACCACACATTGGATATTTCTCTTGAGAACCACGTGGGGGAAAGCCTACACCCTTCTCCCTAGGGCAATTATTTCTCTTAACGCAGGCCGGGGCTACATGTTGCTAACCTGCCCCTCTATCTAACCCAAATCTTCTTGACGGATATAGCACAAGTAACTCACAAAACCCAATCTTGACGCGCATCCTCTTGGCTGCAGAATTCCAGTCTAGCATCCTGATCTTTGTTTCCTTCAGGGAGGCTCAGGTCTCCCCAGAATGATTAGGGAGATCTTGCTCAGCTGAGAGTCAGACATACTGTGGTTGGAATCCTGGCTCTACCTGCCCTAGATGTATGACCTTGGACAAGCTCCTCAGCCTTCTTGGAGCTCCATTTTCCTCATCCATCAAATAGGGTTAAAAATCCTGGGCTTGCAGGTGGCTGTACAAATTCAGTGAGACAAAACATGTGAAGGGCCCAGTGTAATGTGAAAGTTCAGGAACTGGCGGCTATTCTTGGTTTAAGAGAGAAAGGTGCAGAGTTCCTTGAAAGGGCAGAGCAAGAGAATCTGTTCTCCCTGGAGATACAGAGGGCCCTGGGTTCAGAGGTGAACTCAACCCACCCCAGGCAAATGGCAAGACGATCTCATGGCAAACAGCTGGAGCCCACCACTGTAGGCCCTGAGCCATGTGCCAGCCCCGCCTGTCCCAGCAAAGGGGCCTGGGGGTTGACACAGCCAGTGCCAAGCCAGATGGGGCAGTGGCCAACTTTCCAGTCAGCCCAGATGTCTGTCTTTCTCAGATGAAAACTCAAAAATGTGGCCTCAATCAAAGTGGCTTTTGAGAACCGTGTGTTCTCCAGACTCTGGCAGGAGGATTGAAGAGGGCTATGAGCTGGGACCCTTTGATAAATCCCAAGGGGTCAGGAAGACCTGGCTCAGGCTAAGTCCTGGGAGTTCAGCTGGGTACACATTACCTCTACCACTCAGAGTGAAGGGAGCAGAGGGGAACTGTGGGCTGGTCTAGACTGACTCCCGGGCCAGCTCTCCATGCAAGTTCTGTGGCATTCTGGAACAAAAGGGATTTACCTATGCCATGCAATTAAGACTTCAAGGCAGTCCTTTTCCATGTCAGGAATAGTGGCATTCTGTTGCGACCTTCTTCAACAGTCCAGCACAGAGCCTCAAAGCCAGAATGTGACTGAAGGGAAGCCATGAAGCCACTCCCAGGCTGCTCACCCTATCACTCCCACCACTGCCTGATTTGCTAGAACACTTTACTGGGGATGACAAAGGCTTCCCCCAGAAGCATAAGCCTATTTTATCAGAGGAGAAATAGGGGCTCAGAGAGGCAAAGCCACTAGTGCCAGGGATGATCTAGGATCCAGAAGTCCTGTCTGTCTTGCCAACCTTCCCCAAACCTGCCCTGGCAGCTTGTCTTTTCTTCCTCTGCTTCTTGTATAGAAGCTTCCTTGTCATCCCCACTTAAAGAAATGTGCCCACCCCAGCCCCAGGTTCAGGCATGAAGCGAGGTGCCTGGCACTCTGTCAACACAAACAAGGCTCCCCAACGTCTTGCCCCTTCTCTATACAACGCCCAACTGCACTTTCATGTGTTTTTGATGTTTATGTTGCCCTGGTCTTTGTTATTTCTTGCTCAGTGTGCTGGGATGCTTGACATTCCAGGGTCTGTACCCTGGTGCCCAGCGCGCTGAGATGTTCTGAACACAGTAGGGGAGGCCACCATCTGGGATGGGGCAGAGCGAGGGCAAGGGCTGAGCGTTGGGTGTGTTGGGGGAGGGGTACAATTCGTGTTCTGCACGCACCTGATCCACAGAGCTCTGCTCCCGTGCCCACCGCCACTGGGCTCTAGCCCTGTCTGAACCGAGCTCACCAGCTGTATTTGGAGCAGGTTCCTTGGGCATCAGGTGGGCTGAGCTCTCAAGGCTGGCACACAGGTGGAACCAGGAGTGCAGCAAGTGGGCGAGCAGGTAGCTGCTTCAGTACAGACTCTGGCCTTTTTCTCCTGCTCCCCACCCTTCCAGTGGAGGGCTCCCCCACTCTCAGAAGTGCTTCCAAGATCTGGGGATGTGGTCATGGTGCCTGTCAGCCCTGGCTGAGGGCAACAGGCCTAGAATCCTCCATTGGCAGCAGCCAGCCCTGGCATGGACCTCACAGCCTGCATCTCTGCACCCCTGATGGGCTCCAGAGCTTGGGACAGGCAGGCCCTGTGCTCCCACTGTCCCCTCCAATCCTATAAGTGGCAGATGTGACATATAAGTGAAGAATCCAGAGTGGCTCTATTTTCATTTTCACTAATGTCACCTGATAGGTCTGTGGCCACTAACATCACTGTCAGATTGGCTTAGTGAATTACAGAGGAGATACTGACCCAAGGACCCTGTGGGGCCCTGATCGCTGACACCCCACCCAGAGGGCTGCATCTCAAGAGTTCAGGATTATGCTTGGTACCCAAATCAAGGACACCTTAAGGCCTGAAGACTTGCCCAGAGGAAGGTTCCGAGAGGGGCATAGACCTCAGCTGGGAGGAGAATCCCAGCAGTGAAGCGGGATTCTGAGAAGGCCCTTCTGGAAGCCTGTTTCTCAGCTGCACCACTCCACTCCTTTACACTCACGCTGTTGGCAGCTGAGCCCACTCTTCCCCTTCATTATTTCTCAGATTCCAGAGGCAACAGCGTGACAGCTTCTGAGCCCTGAGACAAGGAGGGGAAACTTCTAAGGCTGCCCCTGAATTGCCACTTGGATGAAATCTCATTGTTCCTACCACCTAGAAAAGCCAGCTCCCTCCTAGGACAGCCCTAACTGGGTCAGGAGGTCCCAGGGCAGGTCAGCACCTTGGTCAGCGCAGCAGGTACTGCATGCCCCTCAGAGGGTTGATGGGGTAAAGGGAGAGAGACCCCCACCCACTTGTCTGAATGAGCCAGCTCTTGGGAACCAGAACCTGCCCAGAGCAGGGACTTGGGAGCCCTGGCCCCACCTAACCCTTCTGACATGCCTGCCTTTCTACAGGAGAGCCAGGGCTGAGCAGGGCTCAGCAAGAGACATACTGTGCTCCAGAAAATGTTGCTCATTCTCTTGGTCTTACCTGCACATGCAATTTCCTTGGGTTGTTAAACTCTTCCCCATTACTTAACTGTCCTACCCCTAATTATTCTTCAAATCTCATCCTGGAAGTCACCTCCTCTGAGAAGCTTTCCCTGATCCACAGGGTTTAGCCTGTAGGGCCCCCATCCCACAGTGTACAGATGTGCAAGTTGTGCACTGCACAAAAGCACCATCTCTAAGGGAATCATTGGCATCCTAGATTGGCATATTTATGAAGATGATCTTGAACAAATGGAAGGGCAGGTTTTTCTAATTTGCACAAAGGTGCTACTGGACCTATGAGGGGCCTGGGCTCCACTGCCTGTGTTTGCACAGCACTCAGGACTTGACCAGACACTGCTCAAACCTCTTCATTCCTGATGCCTACCAGCCATCTATGACTACCCACTAAATTGTAAGCTTGGAGAGGAAGGTGCGGTTTTTACCACCTTCTCTACTCTCTGTCCAGGGCCTGCATGCTATGGCCTCTTCAAATGGGGGCTTAGTCAATGTAAATATTTGTCGACTGATTAGAATGTGGGATATAGAAGTTTCAAGGGTTCAACGCCTGATAGGAAAGAGAAAAGAAAACAAGGAAAGAAGAAAAGTGGCAAAAACATCTCTGGCCTACAGGGGAGACCTGGGCAGTTTGATGCACATCTCCTGTGCAGTGGGTCCATTCCTTTCTCGCTTTCTTGAGGGATACTTTCTAATTACAATAATGATAATGATTGTAATAGCCATGGTTTATTGACCTAATACTAAGCATGTGCATCATTTCATTTAATCTCTACAGCAGTCTACGAGGCTGGCACTATTACTATCTCCATTTTACAGATCAAGAGACTGACGCAGAGAGAGGTGATCAGGAAGAGCTGGGACTGGTACGTAGTATGTGTTAGACATTTAAGCCTGGGAGCTGAACACTACCCTTTGCTACTTCGCCAAAAATTCTATCACACTGTAAAACTGTCTACACTTATTTTTAGTTTGGAAAATGTAGTCACTGCTCCACAGCTGAGTCTGATGCAAGGAACAGCCCTGCCCCTCCCATCTTTGGGCTCCTGTCCAGCCTCCTGACAAAGCTGATTGACCAAGCTGACTGCTGACAGGCAAAGGAAATACACACCAGGCTCAGGCCCAGGCCCAGAAAGGAGGCCTGGAGGGAGAAGACAGACAAATGGGCAGAAGCCACACTCACGCACAGGCATCTGGTCACCCTCCTCCCAATTGTGCAACTAAGACTGGGGAGAGCATCGTGAACAGGCATCTTGCTCACTCCTGAAATTGCAGTCCTTGGCACATACAAGGCACCCAGTGAGTATTTGCTGAATGAATGAATGAATGAATGAATTAACACATGTTAGGTTTTTCCCATCGTCCAAAAGAGGGCAAGGAACTAGGGCTCCCATACCCCAAGGATGAGGACATCTAGGACAGACATTCAACCCTAATTCAAAGTCAGGGAGGCTGGAACAGGAGGTAAGGAGATAAAGAGGAGGCCTGGGGGCCCCATCAGGGAGAGAATAAAGAAAACACTGAATCACTGAATCAAGATCTCTGGACCCCTGGCATCTGGGAGGGGTGTGCAGGGGAACACTGAGTGAAATCCCTAAAATCTGATCAAGAATCTCTGCAAGAGAGAGCAGGCCCTTGCAGGCAATCAGATGGAGCAGGCAGGACAGACTGCACCAGCAGAGGGCTGCCAGGAGCCTCAGTGCTGGCCAGAAACACCTTCAAGGCAGGTCTGGGAAGTCTGCAGTTTACCAGCCTGTTCTACCTGCCTGGCCTCTGACATCCTGGAGGGGAAACCCTGGCAGGAGAGGGCAGGCCCAGGGAGAGCTTCCTCCACAACACGTGACCTTGGACTCCAGCACTCACCTGGTCTGGGTGGGCATGGGGCACACAAAGTCACCCCCCAGAAGGCTCCCACACTGCCACAGCAGTCCTCCTGGGTAGTCAGCTCCAGCAGAGGGTTGGCACACTGGAAGGAGAGGCCATGGACACCTGTGACCACCCCCCTTCCCTCCCAGGCTGTGCACAGAGATGTCCCGGGAAAGCCTAGGACACAGAGCTCACTCCCCACATTCTGCCAGAGGATGTCCCCAGCCAAAGAAGGGGAGAAGGGAGTCAGCCCATATCCCAGAAGGAAGCAGAGAAACCTGCCATGCACTCTCCCAGCCCTGAACCTTGTGTGTGGATGGGACACCCCAGACACAAGATCTGCCCTGTGCGGGGCTGCAAACCACCACCCTCCATGGCCCCAACCACAGACAAAGGGTCCTAAAGGAAGAGCTTCCTCTGCCTACCTCCAGGGAACTGCAGGGTCACCCACAGAGTGGGCCTTGTGAGCAGAGCCCCAGGCTCAGGGACACCCCAAGGTGAGAGGCCAGGGATGATCTGGGAATTCAGGGTGTTTACCCCTTGGCTGTCCCACCTCCTCCAGTTCCCTAATCTCAGATAGGGTTTCTGGAAATACCTTAGTTTCTGGAAACTAAGCGGTTTCCTGGCAACCCCAAGAAAAACCATACTGGGTCTGGTCTAACCCCTATTCTTGGGTGCCTGGCCTCAGAAAATCTTCCCTGATTTCCCATTATGAGCTGAGGATGGTTCCAGAGGGCAATAGGAGTATCTCTCATCTTTGTACCACCAGGGCTTTGGGGTTAACCTCCATTTGTTAATTCCACACCTCTGTGACCCCAACTGTAGCCTCAACTGGATAAAAAACTCCTGGCCAGATCCTAACAGCCCCACTGGTCCATGTGCCAGGGGTCATAGGATCAGCATCTCTAGGCTGCCTTCACCTGAGGATGCTGGTGACAGCTCCTCCAGAGGGGAACTTCCTTGGGTCTTCTTCTGTGTGCCTGGTATTGACAAGCACCAAGTAGAGCCCAGGAAGGAGGCCCAGACTCTCCATACATGGACAATTTCATGCCTTGGGTTTTCCCATCTGGGAAATGGGAGAGTCTGCAGACACTCACATTCCATAAGAACAAAGAGGACAGAGAGGAGGAGAAGGGCAGACTGGGGACAACTGCCATCCTGGAAGCATCCAGGGCTGAGGCCAGAGCTGTGTTCTCACCTGTCCGTTCACAGTGTTCAGGTAACACCGGCCCAGCAGTCCTCGAGGCCTGGGTGCTGCTGGGGGCAGTGGCCGAGGGGGCTCTCCAGACCGAGCAGGGATGTTGTTGCTGTCCCAGAGGCTGTGGCCAGGGCTGGCAGGCAGCCAGGGCGGGGGTCTGGTCTCCACGCTGTTCTCCACTAGGGCCTCCTCCACCCCGCCCCGCACCTGGGCCACCTGGTGGATCTGCACTGAGGCCTCGGGTGGGTGGTGAATGTGCACCTTCACCAGGGAGGGGTTCACGGAGGCTGGGCACAGGGGCTAGAGTCAGAGCCAGGGAAGCAGGGCCCCACCCTCATTTCCAACCCTCTGAAGGGTATCCACCACCCCTGGGCCAGGCAGGCCACTGGCTATGTGTCACCCCAAAACTCTCCTTCCATTTCTTTGCTCCCAAGTTAGAACCCCAGAATGATCCCTTGTGGGGACGGGATGAAGTGCAAACTCTGTCACTGAAGGAGCCTCATTATCACATTCCAAGCTACCTTCCTGATTCTACCTCCCCCATGACCCTGGCCAACCCTGGAACTCCAGCCCCCTGTCTCCTGCATGGCCCCACCTCCGTGCCTTTGCTCGTGCCAGTCCCTCTGCTTAACCAGATGCTACCCATTGTTTCAGGCCTAACTGCAGTCCATCCCCTCCACGCAGCTGTCCCAGAGCACTCTGGGCTTAGGAGCCTCTCCATCCCCTGATCCCCTAAAGCATTCTGTATTTTTTTGGCACCTAATAATGGAAGGCAGGGAAAATGAAATGTTTTATGCTGATATTCTATTTCCCATCCATTCTCCCTCTATTACCCAGGCCCATGGATTCCTTGAGGGCGGCACCCTGCCCTTACACTGTTTTGTCTTCCCCAGGGTTCCCAGCACAGGGAAAGGGCAAAAACAAGTCGATAAATTCCGATGGGAGGGGGCTGAGAAGTTGAGGGAATGAAACTTAGCGCTGAGGGCCAGGAGAAAGAGGGAGGTTTGATCATAAAGGAAGGACTACAGGCAGCTTCCCTATCCCTGTCACAGCCATGGTGACAGCCTCCACCCAACTGGCACTCCTCCCAGGGTCCCGCCGGCCCAGCTGTGCCGGCACTCACCCAGCTGGTTGGAGAGCGGCAGTGTGAAAGTGGACTGCTTCAGTGGGGCTTCCAGCAAGGCCCTGGGGCGGGACCCCCTCCCTGGAGGCTCCCTGTCCGGCTGCGGGATAGGCAGGTGGCAGAACTTCCCGGTGGAGTTGGCGGGGCACCAGCATTCGTCCCTGCCGATGCAGCGGCCTCCGTTCAGGCAGGGGATCTGGCAGAAATCTGCAACATCAACCCTCAAGGTAACCAGCGGTGGAAGAACAGCAGCACCCGCTCTGTGGCTGGTGACCACCACAGAGAAACAGGCGGCAGAACCCTGACCCTAGATGGCTCCTGTAGCCCGGAGCCCCCTGAAATGTAGGGACTTTCCACTTCATTCATGTAGAGTGAAGAAGAGTGGATAATAACCAGCCCCTGCCTTCCTGAAAAGTCTATTTAGGCGTTTCCCTGCACCCCACAATAACCTGGGAGATGGGGAGGTGGCATTATCATGAACTCTGTCTCTTCTCTGTTGAGGAAACTTGGACTCAGAGAGGTTATGTGACTCCTAGAGTCACACAGCTAGGCTGCCAAGTGAGGACTCAGCTCCCCATGTGATTTGGGACAACTTGTGGAGCCACAGTTTGGGAGCAGCGGGCTCCAGTCCAAGGCAGGCCTGGCTCTCTGGCCATCTACCCTCCAGGGCCAGCTGGGAACCATCTGAGCAGGAAAGGGACTCACAGATGCGGAAGCCAGACTTGGGATCGTGCCCATGGCCGCCCTGGCTGTACAGGGTGGTGGTGTCGCCCCTCTCACAGCTGTTGGCACAGTGTCCACGGGCACAGGTCTGCTTGCAGATGGTGGGAGTGAAGACGATCTTGATCTTCTTGATTTTCTCCGTGAGGTTCAGCCCTGCAGAGAGAGGGCTTGGGTCCAGGGGGCAGGGCTGAGAGGCACAGCTGTGACCTCCAGAGTCTGGTTAGAAAGCCCCATGGGACTAGGGCTGCATTCATCTCAAGGGCATTTGCTGAGTACCTACTGGACGCAGGGTCCCATCGTAGGGGCAAGGTGATACCTTTGAGAAGCTCGCAGATGTGCCAGCCACCAAGCTCACACTTCATGCACATCAACCCTCTTGAGTGGGTGGTATGTTAGGTTGAATCATTAGAAATTGCCATTTTTGTAGGTTCCTATGGCTGAGTGTTGGTATTTTTCATATATCCAACCTACTGTGTCCATTTTACAGCTAAGAAAAATGAGGCCCAGAGAAGTTTGGGTGCTCAAGTGACGCAGCTAGCAAGTGATGCAGCTGGGCTTTGAACCCAAGGGCAGGGAACAGAATGCAGCCCCAGCTTGCCAGAGAGGAGAGTTTTCTAAGAGAAGAGAAGATAAAGCCTGAAAGGATTAGAGTCAGGTTTTGTGGGGGACCTGATTACCAGAACAAGGATCAGGCACTTTATTTGGTGGGTGATGGGGAAGCTGCAGAAGACTTTTAAGCAAGACATCATGCTGGCTTTGATGTGCTGGGGGGTCCGGAGGCAGGGTGACCACCTGGGAGGTCATGGCAGCAGTGCAAGCTGAGGCCGCTTCATTTCCCAAGAGTGGTGGCAATGAAATTGGGCTATTAATTCAGTACGGGGAGCCTGGGGACAGAAGCCAGAGGCAGAAGGTTGAGGGAGAAATGGGAGGGGAGGAAATTGAAAAAATATGTTTTGACCATGAGTTTGAGAAGCTTGACTGTGAAGGGAGGAGATAGGAAGAAAGCGGAGAAACGTGTGTGTGTGTGTGTGTGTGTGTGTGTGTGTGTGTGTGTGTGAATGAGAGAGCTGTAAGCAATTGTACACGTTGAGGGGAAAGGGCTGAGAGGGTGGGAGAGGGTGAAGATACAGAAGAGGGGGGACAAGTGATGCCAGCGTTCCAGAGGAAATGACAAAGGGTGCCAGAACGTGCCTTAGATAAGAGGGACACCTCCCCCTCAAGATGGCGTGAAAGGAATCGTCAACCATGAAAAGGAATGAAGCACTGATACACACAGCAACATGGATAAACCTCAGAAACGTTATGCTAAGCCAGGCACAGGAACTCACGCCTGCAGTCCCAGTACTTTGGGAGGCTGAGGCAGGAGGATCACTTGAGGCCAGGAGTTTGAGACCAGCCTGGGCAACATGCAAGACCCTATCTCTACAAAACATTTAAAAATTAGCTGGGCATGGTGGTGCATGCCTGTAGTCCCAGCTACTCTGGAGTCTGAGGTGAGAGGATCACTTGAGCTCAGGAGTTTGAGATTATAGTGAGTTGTTATCATGCCACCACACTCCAGCCTGGGCAACAGAGCAAGACTCTGTCTCTTAAAAAAGAAAAAGAGAAGAAAAGAAAATGTAACGCTAAGTGAAAGAAGCCAGACACAAAAGATGGTACATTGTACGACTCCATTCATGTAAAATGTCAAGGATATGCAAATCTATAGAGACGGGAAATAGGTGAGTGGTTGCCAGGGATAGGAGGGGAGATAAGGAGTGACTGCTGCTTAGTGGGTACAAGGATTCTATTTGGAGTGATAAAAATGTTGTGGAATGAAATAGTGGTGACGGTTGCACACAATTATAAATACACTAAAAGCCACTGCAGTGTAGCCTTTAAAATGGTTAATTTTATGTTATGTGAATTCCACTTCAATTTTTAAAATGGAAAAAAAAGGAAGGAGGTGAGCTCAGGCACAGATGTAAACAGGGTAGTGGTGGGTGTGATAGGCAGGAAGTTGAGGAGCTCTCTGGGAGGTGGGGGCATGTCTGTGGGCTGATGGATGGGGCCTCGGGAAAGGAGGGGAGGGGAGGGGAGGCCTGGAGTAGCTGCTCTGAGAAATGGAGGGAGAAAATGTCCAGGCACACAGGGAGGGGTTGTCAGGCAATAACAAAGAGTGTGCCATGGCGTGAATCCACAGAGATTCTGTGGGAAGCAGAGGCGCAGCTGTAGGTGCTGAGGTAACAACTGGTTGGGTTGATCCAGGAGAGTTGGGGTTTGTAGGAGGGATGAGGTGGAACGAGTGGGACCAGGGAGTTGAGGTTCACAGCGGGATATGAGGGAAGCAAAGGCAGGAGGGGATGATAGATTGGGCAGAAATAGAGCAGTCTAGGTCTAAAGGTTGCAACGGGGTGAAGTCCAGGTCCACCGGTTTAGGACCCCTGGACCCCGGCACAAAGCAGGTGCTCAACAAGCGTTTGTTGATTGGCTGAAAGAATGAGGGACAAGGTGACAACTCAGCCCCTCTGTGAGAGCAGAGGGGGAAGCCAAGGTGGGAGAAGAGAGTTCTAGAGGCCCTGCTCTTCTAGGACCCAAGACAGGGTATCCTTACCCCAGGGGGATGAGGGGTGCTCCAGAGGTACCGCCTGTTGGGTGCCATCTCTCTGCTCAAGGCCTGGTCCCGGGGGCAGGGCGTTGGAAGAGAGCTGGCTACTGGCCGTGGCAGTCGGGTGAAGTCGGACAGTGCGGGACAACCCCACGTGCTGCTGGGAAGGGTGGGTCTGGCTGAGGCCACTCAGGGTCCTGTGGAGACAACCGCGGCACGGGGGTTTGCACCCTGGGAACAGTGTGTCTGTGCCACTCCTCATCCAGCCACCCACTCTCTGCCTTTGCACAAGAAAAATGCTCTCTGGCTGCCTTCTCACCCATGTATGGCTGACTCCCAGACATGAAGGTGCCCTGAGGCAGAAGGACTGATCTAAGGCCTGCCGGCTAGTTTTGTAGAAATACCAACCCCTATGTGGAATCACCAGGCTTTTGGTGGGTTATTCCGGGCAAATCACTTAGCTCCTCTGGGCCCCAGGACCCTTAACTGCAAAATGGGGGTGTTAGACGGTCCTCACGTAGCTCTGACATTCCAGAAGTCTTTGAGAACCCACTATGGACCAGCCCCTGCCCTAAAACCAAGTCCTGTACCTACTCCCTACCACTTCTTAATATATCCCTTAATATGAATTACCTGTAGAAGAGGTGCCCAACAAACACACCTTCAAGATTGATTCAGGGCAGAGCCTAGAGTCTCCCTCTCATTGATTTTTATTGTAAGAATAATGTAACAACAATATTCAAGGAGAAAAACATGAATTCATCATCTCCCATCCTAACACAGCAACTACTTTTGCATATTTTCTTTCAACCTTTGCTCACGTATATGATTTTACACTATTGTCATCACCTAGAGATACAATTTTAAATTCCGTTTTTCACTTAACATTAGATCACACTTTACACAATTCAATTTGTCATATTTGTCATGTTCATCGCTATATGATAGTCCAGCTAAAGATGAATCACAACTTATTTAGACATTTACCTGTTACATATTTAGATTTTTTAAAAAGTTTTTTGCTTGTTTTTGTTTTTGAGACCGAGTTTTGCTCTCGTTGCCCAAGCTGGAGTGCAATGGCGCGATCTCAGCTCACTGCGGCCTCTGCCTCCTGGGTTCAAGCAATTCTCCTGCCTCAGCCTCCCCAGTAGCTAGGATTACAGGAGCCCGCCACCACTCCTGGTTAATTTTTTGTATTTTTAGTAGAGACAAGATTTTGCCATGTTGGCCAGGCTCGTCTTGAACTCCTGGCCTCAGGTGATCCGCCCACCTTGGCCTCCCAAAGTGTTGGGATTACAGGCGTGAGCCACTGCACCTGGACTGTTTTTAAGTTTTAAATGTGTACATCCTTACCTATATGACTTTGTCTTCTGTTAAAATATTCCTTTAGTACAGGGAGATTTGTTGTACTATTCTATTTTATTTTGTATATTTGAAAAAATGTTATAGGAAACATCTTGAAAGGATTAAAACTTTAGGATGAGGCTGGGCGTGGTGGCTCACGCCTGTAATCCCAGCACTTTGGGAGGTCCATGCGGGCAGATCACTTGAGGCCAGGAGTTCGAGATCACCCTGGTCAACATGGTGAAACCCCATCTCTACTAAAAATACAAAAATTAGCTGGGTGTGGTGGTGCATGCCTGTGGTCCCAGGTACTTGAGAGGCTGAGGCTGAGAATCACTTGAACCTAGGAAGTGGAGGATGCAGTGAGCTGAGATCATGCCACTGCACTCCAGCCTGGGCAACAGAGGGAGACTCCATCTCAAAAAAGCAAAACAAAACAAAAACTTTAGGATGAATTCCTGGGGCTAGAATGACTGTATCAAAGGTTACAAACATTTATGTCTGGAGGCACACACTGGTGTATTGCTTTCTGAAAGGGTTGCATCCAAATATATAAATGAACCACTTAGAGCACAATCTTGCCAGCACAGCATATTATTAATTTTTAATACTTTGCTAGCTTTGAATAAGCACAAAGTGGTACTTCAATGTTCTTTTCACCTCCCTTCTCTCCTTTAAAAAATTATTTTTGAGGTTAAAATATTTCAGGTATTTATTTACCACTTGTGAAAATCCTCCGCTCATGTCCTTTGACATCTTAACTGCTTGAATTGTCTCATACATTTGGACACATTCTCTTGATGTTTATTATTGGGCAGGCTGTTCTAAAAGGCAGCCTCTGTTGTAAATACTCTGTCATTGTCACAATGTCTATGAACCACTGTGTATACGACAGTGTCTGGACTGTGGTGGGTGTAAGCGTATTGCAGACATCAAAGCTGAGAGAGGCTCAGTCCTTGCCCAAGGTTATACAAGAGCTAAATGGGGACACCAGGATGCCAACCCAGGGCCTGATCCACAACCTGTGTCCTGCGCCAGCCGACAACCAGCCCAGACCCCAGTGGGAGCTCAGCCTGGAAGCCTCTGCTCAGGCCTCGGGGGCATCCCTTCCCCCAGTAGGTCCCATGCCAACCCTCCCCACTGGTTTCCTTGCCCAAGTGGGATAAGGCCCTGGGATTCTCTCCCTCCCCAAATCTCCACCCCAGTTCTGTTAGCCCTTGGTGACCAGGCCATGAGCAAACTCCTTATGCTTTCCTGGCAGAAGGCAAACTAGGACTGGCCTGGCACAGTTGTTCATGCCTATAATCCCAGCACTTTGGGAGGCTGAGACAGGAGGATCACCTAAGGTCAGGAGTTCGAGACCAGCCTGACCAACAGAGAGACACCCCATCAAAAAACACAAAAATTAGCCGGGCTTGGTGGCACATGCCTGTAGTCCCAGCTACTGGGGAGGCTGAGGCACGAGAATCGCTTGAACCCAGGAGGTGGAGGTTGCAGTGAGCCAAGATCACCCCACTGCACTCCAGCCTGGGCAACAGAGTGAGACTCAATCTCAAAAAAACAAAACAAAAAAGAAAGCAAACTCCCTCCGAGGACTTCCAAGAAAGCGCCTGGGAGAGAGAGGTGGCTGAACTGCTGGCTCACTGGGAGCCTCGTCCTGGGTACCAGGCTGGTGCCATGCTCAGGTTAGTGGCAGCGCCACAGAGCATCCCAGAGAGGTGAAAAGAGTAGCTCATGTTCTGCCCAGACCACTGCCACTTTTCTGAACTTGACCCTGACAAAGAGCTCTCCAGTCTGGTCAGGATGGAAACTCAAAGTGTTCTTTCTTGGTGGTTTGTTGTCATTGTTATGTTATTGCTGCTGTCAGTTTTTTCTCTAATTGGTGCTCAGAGCTCATGGCACCAAGATCCCAGGGTTCAAATCCCTTAAGGGCCAGTTGGGTAGTTTTGCAGAGAGGAAAACCAAATAAACAAACCATGTATTCCCTAGTCATAGACAGGACCTGGCTGTACAGAGGGGAGGGGTTGGGACTGGGCCAGACAGATGTTGGTTCTGCCTCTTACTAGCAGCACAGCCTTGAGCAAGTCACTTAGCTCCCCTGAGCCTCAGAATCCTCATCACTGAAACAAGAATAGCAATGCCCACCTCATAGGGCTGGTGTGAGGATGACGAGAACAGTGAGACCATGCAATTATTTCACAAATACAAGTAAATGGTCAAAGTAGAAAAATACGCCAGAATTTTTAAATTGCAGAAACAAGGAGGAAAAAAGGAGTTAGCTACAGTTTGGACTAAATACATCTCCCCAAGCAAATAAGAAAACATGACTGGGCCACTTAAAGTTCTTCTTTAAGGGAAATAAAAAGACTCCAGAAAAAAGTGTTATTGCTGTCCAAGTGTCCTTATATATACACAGGGCCAAGTGTCTAATCTGGTGTCAACACATTTTTAACAACCGGAGTCCTCTGAGCCTAATTCATTGTCACCTACTACTCTAATGGGGATTTGGGGTTAAATGACAGAAATAAAAAAGCCCTGCATTCTGAGAGGCTCGTCGTGGAGTAAAGGAAGAAGCTCCCAGGTTTTTTTATAGGTCCTGCCTCTTATTCCTAAAGCATCCATATAAGGAGGTTGATAACTCCCTTTATAAGTCCCAGCCTAGGCCTCAGAGGTGAGCAGCGAGAGAGGCTCTCGCTGTGTGGAGGGCTGCAGGTTCTTGGCTCAACTCTGGATCCCTGGTGGTCTCCAATTGGTTACCACTGCCATCACCCCATAGAAGGGCACAGGCAGCTAGGATGGAGTGGAGACTGTGAGCTGTGGAGTTTGCAAACCCCACTGTCTAGCCTTGTGTTATCTTTGCACTCATTTCCTTTAAGCAAATCGCAAGCCTTTAGCCAAATCCTGTTTGCATGTTCTTTCCTAGTCTCAGGTTGTGGGACATCAAGAGAAGGGTCTGGTGCCATGTTTGCCCCAGGCTGGTCCAAAGAAGCAGTATCCCCCCGATTAAGGACAGTAGAGGTCTGGTAACAGAAGAAGGCAAGTCTCAATGAGAAGGTGACCACAGCCCCCAGGAGATGCTCCATCTACTATCAGCCTTGGAAGAACCGCTGCAATTTCATCAAAGGACAGAGGTTCCCAAACTCACCCAGCACAAGAATGGAACTTGCTATCTTTCTGGGACTGTTCCAGGGAAGTCCTGGCCAAGCCTCCACAATGGACCAAAAAGTCATCTCTAGACTTCAGGATTTCATGAATCCGTAAGATTTTGGAACAAAATTGGGGGAACAACATAAAGTCGCTTTTTATTTAGGTTGCTAAGACTTTAAGACAAACACACACAAAACTGCCAATCACTACCACCATAATTTCACGAAAGAAAAGACATTTCAGAGCCAAAAAAGAAACGTTTGAATAAGCCTAACTTCATGGAAATCTCACCAAATGACTTTATTTTCTTCATTTCTTTATGGATCATGAAATCCCCATCACAGGCCAGCACAGAGCCAAGAGACAGCCACCAGATCCACCACAGTCTGTTCTCAACTGTGGACTCTGGGCTTTTCAACCAAGATGAGGAAAAATTCTCATCCCAGTGGCCGGGGTCTTCAGGCCCACAAGAAAGCTGCCTGGGCAGTCTGTACCCATAATGATGCCACTTACTGAAATGTGCAAGGTGTGCCCACACCCTGCCCGACACACTAAGGTTTCCCAACAGCGATGGGAAGACAAGTGGGCGAGGAGCTCTGTGCCCTCTACCCCATTCACCCTCACCCTAGCCTGGCTGCTCTCCTCTATTTACTTCATAAATCGGGCTTCCAAAAACAGCTGGCCCATCATATCCATGGGTTCTGCCTCTGCAGATTCAACCAACTGTGAATGGAAAATATTTGGGGGGAAAACCCCCAAAAATAGCAATCAACAATGAAAAATAATACAAATAAAAATTATATAGTATGACAACTATTAGCATTTGCACTGTATTAGGTATTATAAGTAATCTAGAGAAGATTTAAAGTATATGGGAGCATGTGCGTAGCTTATATGCAAACATTATGTCATTTTATATCAGAGACTTGAACATCCATGAATTTTGGTATTCACAGGGGTCCTGGAACAAATTCCCTGTGGATATCGAGGGATGACTGTACTATTTTGTTTGGAAAGGCTCTTGCTGCTAAAAAAAATTTAAGAGTGTTACTAAAGATGCATAGAATATGCCTGTAATCCTAGCACTTTGGGAGGCTGAGGCAGGCAGATCACTTGAGGTCAGGAGTTCGAGACCAGCCTGGCCAACATGGTGAAACCTGTCTCTACTAAAAATACAAAAATTAGCCGGGCGTGGTGGTGGGCACCTGTAGTCTCAGCTACTCAGGAGGCTGAGGCAGGAGAATCACTTGAACCCGGGAGGCAGAGGTTGCAGTGAGCCGAGATCACGCCATTGCATTCCAGCCTGGGTGACAGAGCAAGTCTCCCTCTCAAAGAAAAAAAAAGATGCATAGAATAGTTGTAATTATCATTATGAACATGAAGCCAGATATTTTATATACATCATCTTATCTATGTTATTTTAGTGAATGAAAAAACTGAGTTGCAGAATATATGGATAGTATGCTTCTAGTTTTGTGTTTTAAGAAAAGCTTTTCTCTCTCTCTTCCCCTACAGATGTTTATATAAGCATAGGAAAAGGCCGGAAGATCTGTAAATAGTGGCCACTCTTTAAGAATGAGAGTGTCTGTGTGTGTGTACCTCCTATTTTAAACTTTATCATTTCAATATTTTTGAAATTTTTACAATAAATATGCATCACATGGAATAAACATGTATTTGTTTTGTAATCAAAATAAATCTCTATTCTTCCCAGCAACTCCATTTTATAGCTAAGGAAACTGAGGCTCAGAAAAAGCATGGTGAATGTGTACACATAACTAGGACCCACGATGGACTGTGTTGGAGAGCAGAGGTACAGGAGTTCAGATAGAATACAGACCATATCTAGGAGAAGGATCCAGGGAGCTTCAGGGATAGATAGGATTTTAACAGACCCAAAATGAGGAGGCAGACATTCCAGATTAGAAAAACAACATAAGGGCCAGGCACGGTGGCTCAAGCCTGTAATCTCAGCACTTTGGGAGGCCGAGGCGGATGGATCACCTGAGGTCAGGAGTTTGAGACCAGCCTGGCCAACATGCTGAAACGCTGTCTCTACTAAAAATACAAAAATTAGCTGGGCGTGTTGGTGGGCACCTGTAATCCCAGCTACTTTGGAGGCTGAGGCAGGAGAATTACTTGAACCTGGGAGGTGGAGGTTGCAGTGAACCGAGATTGCACCACTGCACTCCAGCCTGGGTGACAAGAGTGAGACTCCGTCTCAGAAAAAAAAAAAGAAAAGAAAAGAAAAGAAAAATAACATAAGAAGTGCATGGAGGTGGGAAGCACAGGCCATGTTTGAAGAAGAATAAGCACCATTTGGGTAAAGCACAGATTAGAGGGGAGAGGGGGGAAGGGAAATCATTCCAATTCAATGCCTATCAGGTGGCAGGTATCATGCTAAGTGTTTTAGCTAATATATCATTTACTTGTCCAAACAATTCTATGATCAAAAACCCCTGCTTGGCCAAACCCACCTTAAAGTAAAAAGACAAATGACATGGTGGGAAAAATATGTGCAACTCGTATCAGAGAGAAAAGATGAGTCTCCATAATATCAGAGTTCCTAGAAACAGAAATGTCAGAGACCAACAGCCTTAAAAGAAAAATCAGCAAGGAATATGAACAGGTCACAGAAAAAAAAATACAAATATTTCTTGAACCCAGAAAAATATGCTTAACCTTTCTCCTTGTAAGGGATGTGCAAATGAAAACTATGCTGAGGTAGCATTTTTTAATCCATCAGATTAGAAAAAAACCCAAAGGTTTAATAACATACTCATTTGTGAGACTATGCAGAAACAGACGCTCTCGGATGCTGCTGGCAGGAATGTAAATTGACATGACCCTTCTGGAAAGCAATTTGGCAACGTCTATCCACATCCCAATGCATCTGTGCTTTGACCCTGCTGCTCCACCTCCAAGACTATCCTGCAGATAAACCTTCTGTGGTAGGTGTTGCTGCCCTGCCCTGGTCCCCTTTCTGGCTTGTGTATCTGCAAGTGTAGCAGCTAAAGGCTTATACCTGTGATTTCTTCCAAGCCATGCTCTTGGCTGATGGGAACCACCTGAGAAGCTCCTCCCACCACCATGACCACACAGCCAATGACTGCCTGAAAGGGAAGTTCAAAAGCCTGGGCCCCCAGGCCTTAAGGAGAAACAACTTTGTAAGCTCTATCCTCAATCAGGTCAAAGCTTGATTTACCTGGGACCACATCTTTACTTGGCTCTCTCCCCTTTCCCACACTGCTTTCTTCTTTCCTTTCGCATTTCCCCCGCAAAATCACACACACTGGAATCCCACCTCTAGGGGACCCGACCTAAGACACTCGTAAATGTCCAAAATGATACATGAACAAGACTATTTACAGAAGCACTATTTTGTAATAGCAAAATAGTTTGTACAGAATGAAAACAACTTAAGTGTCCTTCAGTAGGGGATTGGTTAAACAAACAAGGATCTGCTGGCAGAATGGGGTAATAGGCCCTGGAAACACAGCGGCAGCTCCTTTACATCAATAAGTTAAGCTTTCCAAGATACACTGAAAAGTGAAAGCACAACAGCCCAATCCCACCACTGACTGTTTTTGTACAGACTATGACCTAACAATGGTTTTCACATGTTTAAATGGCGGAAAAGAAATCAAAAAAAGAATAATACCTCAAGACATGAGCAAATGATATGAAATTCAAATTTAAGCATCTATAAAGTTTAACTGGAACACAGCTGCCCTCCTCATCTGTGACTGGTTTTGCTCTCCAATGGCACCGCTGAGTAGTTGCAGAAACCATATGTCACAGAAAATCTAAAATATTTACTGTCTGGCCATTTATGGAAGTCTGCTGGCTCCTGGTGTAGGGCATGTGAACTCCTGTGTAACATACAGAAAATAAGGATATATGTTGCAGTTATTTGCATATTCATAAAGCAACCTTGGAAGGATACCCTGGAATATTAATAACAGTGGTTACCTACGTATGTGGCAGGGTGGAGAACAGGAAGTGGGAAGTGGGTGGGTAGGGAATAAACTGGTGCTATATATATATTTATATATATATATTTATATATATATTTATATATATATATTTATATATATATTTATATATATATTTATATATATATTTATATATATATATTTATATATATATTTATATATATATATTTATATATATATTTATATATATATTTATATATATATTTATATATATATTTATATATATTTATATATATATTTATATATATATTTATATATATTTATATATATTTATATATATTTATATATATTTATATATATATTTATATATATATTTATATATATTTATATATATATTTATATATATATTTATATATATATATTTATATATATTTATATATATATTTATATATATATATTTATATTTTATATATTTTTATATATATATTTTGAGACAGAGTCTCACTCTGTTGCCCAGGCTGAAGTGCAGTGACGCAGTCTCGGCTCACTGCAACCTCCGTCTCCCAGGTTCAAGCAATTCTTCTGCCTCAGCCTCCTGAGTAGCTGGGACTACAGGTGCTCGCCACCATGCCAGGCTAATTTTTTTTTGTTTTTGTTTCACCATATTGGCCAGGCTGGTCTTGAACTCTTGACCTGGTGATCCGCCCACCTCAGCCTCCCAAAGTGCTGGGATTACAGGTGTGAGCCACCAGGCCCAGCCAACTGGTGCTATAATTTAATGACACTTTCTTTGTGCCATGTTCTGTGCCAATAACGCCCATTACGTGCATCCTCTCACATAGAGCTCTCCATATCCTAAGACTTAGATACTCATTATCCCCATTTTATAGTCAAGAAAACAGAGGCTATGGGGGTTCTATGCCTTGCAGAAGGTGGCTGAACTCCTAAGTGCTGAGGCCAGGTTACCAAACCAGGTAACTTCATCCTAAATCTACCATTAATCGTTTCTTTATCGCCATTTTACAAATGAGGACATTGAGGCTTTGAGGGATTAAAGAATAGGTCTGTGCCCTTATGGTGAAGGTCTTGAAATATTCAGGGAGGTGTCTGGGCTGTACTGAGTGGGTGAAGGGGAGTGTCCTGAGATTTTGAAGCAGGAAATGACCCGGTCCGAAGAACAGCTACACTTTTTCACTCATTCAAAGGGCAAGTACTGAGTGCCTGTTACAGGCCATGCACTGACCCCAGGGATGGCAAAAACTCCAACCTTGGTTGAAGTCTTTTGTCCCCTAAGCTCCAATGCGGGGTGGACAAAGGGACTAGTACCCTAGCAAAGGTGAGGGGGCAGAGGGGAAGCCACATGTTAGCCTCAAGTCACTCGTGGTCTTCAAGCAGGCCTAGGACATGTTGGGATGGGCATTCTTAAATGATGATTATTGCAGTGAAAGACCACCTGGTAGAGAGTGGACTAAAGAGAGGCGAGCTGGAGGCCAGCTGGAAGGCTTTGGCTGTGGTCTAGGCTATCAGTGGCCGAGGAAAGAACCAAGAAGAAGGCATGGATGCAAGGGCTATTTCAGATGTAGAGACAGATAATTCCCAGCTATGACTTGGACTAATAGGTGGAGGGAGTTCCAAGAGCCAAGATCTCAACATGAGAAATCCAAGAAGTGAATGATGGGCTCAGTTTTGGATATAATGAGTGCTTGGTATCTTGAGATGGAAACACCCAGGAGGCAGAACTTGGGAGAGAGTTTTGGGGCTGTAGACACAGTTGGGGCTGGGAGGAGGTTGTAAGAGTAGAGGTGGTAGCTGTAGAGTTAAGAGGGAAGGATGATATCATTCGAGGAAAGCAGGCAGAACAAACCATGCTTCAGAGTGCCACTGCCTGACTGGGGCGTTAACTCTGCCAACGTTTTCCAATTTAAAAGGGGAAAATGTAATAATGAACAGAATGGTCTCAGTTCTAAGTCTTGCTCCCATAAATTCTTCTCCAACCTCTGGCGCCTGCTACCACTTGTCTGCTAGCACACGATTAAACAAACGAACAAGCCGTAAATTAATATTAACGGAAAAATGTGGCAACAGCCTATCATACTTCATCCCACAGTTTGCGCTTTTCACGGACACGTGCGTGTGCCTATAGCTGGGTTTTTTTTTTTAATTTTTTTTATGCATACATAGACAATCGTCATAGTTTCTGCTAATAAAACTGTTCCCAGCTCTAATCATGAAATTAAGTATATTGATATTTCGTGGTACTCCTTATGACTTCCAGGTGTTCTGACACCTAAACAGTTTGAGAAATGTAAGAGGAAAGAGAACAAAGAAGGGCAGAGGGGGCCTAGGGAACACCAACGCTTAAGAGGCAGACAGAGGGAGAGGCTCTGAAGGCATCTGGAAGGGAGCAGCCAGAGGAATAGGAAGGATCTAGGAGAAAGCTCCAAGAGAGGAAGGCGTTCCCAGAACTCTCTCTGCTGCCGGCCAAAGCGCAGAGGCTGCTCCTTCCTGCGGCTGCAGGGGCAGCTCACTTCAGCTTAACATGCCCTGTGTTTCCCTGATGGCTTGGTCTCCCCTGAGGATCTGGGTGCTGGCAAGGCAGAGGAAGGCCCTTGCAGAGCTCTGCTCCTTTCTCCTCCTGTCTGGCCAGGCAGGCCCTTGGCTGCCAAACCCCTGGGGACCTAAGATAGGGAGACGAGTAGGGACAGCATGTTCAACGGGCCCAGAGCCTGGATTGGAATCTGTACCTTCTTGTTGCCTGGCACGCTGATAGGGCATCATCAACATTCCCTGGTGCCTATCCTAAAGGGTCGAGAGCCAGCCCTCTCCCCCGTGTCCCCAAGGAGTCTCAAGATCACTCCTGCTGCTGTGTCTGCTTGGCGCACCCACCCAACCTCTTTGCCCTCATCAGTCAGCTCCAGGCACCCCACTCACCCCACCTGGCTGCCATGAGTCACATCCCCAGTGCTCTGAGGCTCTGGGCCTCTAGCTCTTCCTATGGCCACACCTAGGTCTGAAAGGACTGGATTCCCCAGCACACAGACCCCAGGGGATGACCCTGCCAGGCTGTGGGTGGGGAGGAGGTAGAGCCCTGGGGCAGTCTCTCCTGTCCAGACCACACCCTGCCCTGCTTCCCAGACAGCTCAAGGGAACACAGCATTCCTGTTTCAGGCAGGGAGACGGAGGGAGGCATGAGCTCTGCGTGTCGGGGTTAATGTCAGGGAGGGGCACCCAGCCCTTGCCTGCAGCCCGGTCCCCCCTCAAGGGCAGCCCTGAAGTAGGTGCTGCCTCAGTTTCTAAAGGGTCCAGAGACTCCTAGGAGCCACATCTCTCCCCTCCACCCTCCAGCCCCCTCATGTGTTGGTCCACTGTGAACACTTTTCCACCGAGCAGCCAGCCTTTAGGCTGCCGGGCTGCCAAGCCCTGGCCCCTCGAGATCCTGCGCGGCCTTTGTTCCCTCCTGGCAGGGTAAGAGAGCCAGGCAAGAGAGCCAGAGCGAGCTGCCTGGGCACTGGGCTCACACCCGGGCCACCTCAGGGGCAGAGGCGGGGTGGGGGTGGCCCTGAGAGGTTCTCAGGGCTCCAGGAAATGCCCCTCATTTTCTCCCTAGCTTGCCCATGTGTCCAGCTGCTGTGGCGATAGCCCTCTTCTTCCCACCAGGAAAAAGAGCCCCTCTAAGTGCTTCCCTGTCTCCTTCTGGGCCCAGCTGGACCACCCAAAGGGTTGCAGCTCGGCGGGGGACACAGACCCCCAGGAGGGAAGGGACTGGGCCTTACCCTCTTCATATCTTCCATGGAGTCGTCACAGCGCTGGGCACACAGCTGCTGCCCTGAAAATATTTCTCACACTCAACTTCAGACTTCTCCATGGCTTCTCCCAGTCCTCCTGCCTCACTGGAACCATCTCCCCAGCCCTAGCTGGGCCCCATTCCTCAGCCACCCAGGGCCCGCAGGCAGTCTGAGGCCCCTGGCTCCGAGTTCCCTCGGGAAGACTTGTCAGCACACGGTGAACCTGGATTTCATGAATTCGTCGTTCAACCACCGCCAACGTGCACCGTCCCATCAGGCATTATGCAAAGGGCATCTTTCCCACCAAGAGCTTGCCACCCAGACTGGGGGGCAGGGGGTAGGGAGAGGCCGAGCATACCTGGTGCCTTCGCACAAATCACAAGAGGCCTCTCTGGGCAGCCAGTTTACAGAAGTTGCCCTACTTCCTTCAGGCTGATGTAGCGTGGTCCCGGTGCTGGGTGAGCAGAACACAGGCTAGATTTTGGCCCCAGGGTTCATCTCCTGCCTGGCACCCTTGTGCAGGACACAGCAGGTACACTATATACAGCAGCCCCGGGCCAGCCCCCTGCATGCGAGCATTTCATAACAATCCAAGAGCAGAGATGGAGGAGAGGGGCAGAAGCCAGGAGTCTTATGGCCAGGTAAGCTGTCCAGCCAGCATGTTCCAGCGCGGCCGTGGGGCTGGATCACTGGGGAATGCTTTCCAGAGGGTGGGAGACATGAGCCGGAGGAAGGGGTGGGGAGTGCAGAGAGAGCCACAAGCATAAACGGACATATTCAGGAATGTGCTGGCATGGTGTTCAGGGATAATCAGACCTGTCTGATTAAAGAGAAATAGGAGGAGTCAAGGATGAGAATAATAATAGCCAACAGTTACATAGTGCTAATCATATGCCAGGCACTGTGCTAAGCACTTTACATATATTAATTCAGTTAACCACCATTAAAATTAGGAAGTAGGTATTATTATTATCCCTTTTCCAGATGAGGCATAAAGAAGCTAGGTAACTTACTTAAGGTCACATAGTCAATGACTAGGAATCAAATACAGGCATTCTGCAGATATTCTAGTTCCAGAGCCTATACCACGAATCTTTGCACCATCTTGAGAACTATACTTCGGGACCTAGTACAGAAGGCCAACAGTCTGGGCCTCATCCTATGAACCTCATGCTTGAAAAGGAAGCCTTGAAAAAAGTGTTTTCACCAGAAAGTAACAAGGTTAAAAATAGTCATGGAAAACTCCCCTTGGAGGCCCCCTACCTACCCCTATTACCCACACTGCCCAGGGATGCTCCCCTCCTTGTCTCCTAGAGCACTTGCAAAAGCTTCCCAAGGGCTGGGTGTGCTGTAGCTGCTTGAGCATGTCAAACCGCTGGATGTGAGCTCTTAGAGGCGAGGCATGGGTCCAAGTCATCTAGTGCCTGGAATGAAGATAGAGATGGAGGGAAGGAGGGAAGAAGGGAAGCAGGGAGGGAGGGAGGGAGGGAGGGAGGGAAAGAAGGGTGGCCAAGTCTGAACAAAATCCTTGTCAGTTGCCCGACTCAGAGAACATCCCTCTTTTTAGCATCCTTTCTTCCAACTGGCCTGAATGAATGGAAGAATGATTAATAGGAAGTATGAGATTCACACAGGAGAAGGTTATTTATTCCTGGCTTACCACTTGGAATGTGTTATGGGGTCTAATTGCAGGAGACCCCCTCTTAGCACAGGTTCTTTGGGTGGGCAGACACTGGGAATGTTGAACTGAAGGACTAAAGTTGTGTACAGACGTGCTGCTGGAGCTCAGATCAAGGCCTGGGTTTCCCCTGGCTATTAGAACAGGGCATCTGCTCATGCCAAAAGGGGGTTACTCCTCCCAGGTCCAATGACAGAAGCCAGCTGTGCTGAGGGGCAGAGATCAGACTATAATGAGATTTGTCCACTGGTATCTCTTCCTCTGGGTATCTGCTGGGGCGTCAGAGTCCTTCCCACACAACCTGTCTTGATGAAATAATTGCTATACTTACTAAACACAGGCTGAGCACCAGGCACCAAACACACATGACCTTATAAAGGTCCCCTAACAAGAACCTAAGACATAGGTGTCTCTGCCCCACTATGACCTATGAGAAATTTGCGGCATGAAGGAGGAAGGTAGCTGGCCCAAGCTCACGTATCTCATGAACGGCAAAACCCACAGTCCTAAAGCTCAGGACTGCCAGGCTCTAAAGCTCATCTCACCCCTCCCATCACTGCAGCCAAACTCCCTCCACAAGCTGCCATGGTGATGCTGCATTAACTACAAGGAAGTGTATGAAAACCAGAAGTGGCTGGAGAGCTGCAGCCATGAAAAGGGAATGAAAATGCAAGGCAGGGCCTAGGGACCTGGCAAGTGCTACAGGAGATTGGAGGAGGGGCTGGAGGAAGGGGAGGAGAGACACCTAGGCTGAGGGGATTGAGCTAGGACTCTTTCCCAAAGCCACAGCAAACCTGGTATACAAACATCTCACCACCACTAACTTGGCCATGAGATGCTCACCTCCTGAACCCTTGAGTTCCCAGCTCATGGCCTTCAGGACCCTTCCACCCTCCATGATGCGCCCCCACACATGCCCATGCACAAGCTTAGCAGGTCTGGCTTATTGAACAGCAAACACAGGCCTGACTCCAGATGTGTTTACCCCACTCGTGGGCCTGCCCCGACAAGCACACTGTAGACTAAGGCAGCTAGGGACCTGGGTCAAAGATACACTTTCAGGAACTGGCCAAAGTCCCAGCCTGCCCTTTCCGCTCTCACAGGGGCTGGAAATTTACCCCGGGGCCATAAACAAAAGGAGATTTCTATGGGAACTAGGGCCCCAACCTGGAAAGCTTCCATTCAGCAATCTAGCAGCCCAAATCTGTCAACCTATGATGTGCCAGGCCTCTGCTAAGGCATTTTATTTTTTTATTTACTTGATTAGTACAGCAACCCTATGATACAGGAACTAGTGTCCCCATTTTACAGAAGAGAAAACTGAAGCACAGGGAGCCTGCTAACTTGCCCGGGGTCATCCCCAGCAGGGAAGTGCTGGGCCAGGGTCTTCAGGCTGAGCTCTGTCTGCCTCTGGGGGATGAGATTCCCTTCCCCACCCTGCTGCTCACCCTTGGCTGTGACCAGAAACCTCCCAGGTCTGGAAACACCTTCAAGTGCTCTGGGCAAATTCTCAAAGTTTCTGATGACCGCTGCTGCATTTCTGAAAGGCTCAGATAACCCCCGAGGCAGGGGACAAGTAAGAGTGGGTACGGTGAGACTTTGAACAAATGTACAGAACCATGAACCAAATAAACCACTTTTCTTTATATTAAAAAAAAAAAAAAGAGTGGGCACGGTGGCTCATGCCTGTAATCCCAGCCCTTTGGAAGGCTGAGGTGGGCGGATCACTTGAGGTCAGGAGTTCGATACCAGCCTGGCCAACATAGTGAAACCCCGTCTCTACTAAAAATACAAAAATTAGCTGAGCATGGTGGTGGGCACCTGTAATTCCCCAGTTACTTAGGAGGCTGAGGCAGGAGAATTGCTTGAACCTGGGAGACAGAGGTTGCAGTGAGCCGAGGTCATGCCACTGCACTCCAGCCTGGATAACAGAGCGAGACTCCATCCTCCTCCCCACCAAAAAAGACTGGGTGTCATTTATAGAGGACCAAAAATGTGCCAGATGCACTTACGTGGATTAGTCAATCCTTCTGACAATTCCATAAGGTAGCAATGATCATCCCCAGCCTACAGATGAGAACACTGAAGCTCACAAGGTTAAATCACTCACTGTAGGCTGCATAGCTAAGTGGTGGAGCTGAGATTCAAACTCAGGTTTATTTAAGACATAAATTATTTCACAATTCTGCCCTCACACGCTACTGCATTTTGTGGAGCCTCTGACCTTGTCCCAAGAACATCAAAAAAGAAAGAAATGTGGAATTAATTTTTCTCCCCTGGAAGGGCGTGGCCTGGCTGGGGTCTTGAGAGGATACCGCCAGACCCCTGCAGATGCAGACTCCCTCAAGTGGCCTCTGCTGCGGGCACTCGCGGGTGGACATGTTACATCGTGGGCAGGGCTGAGGCTCCAGGAGGAAAATGCAGCGTAGGCGACATCTGGAAGCAGAAATGTGGTAGCTCCAGAAGTTTTCATCTGTAATCTTTGTTTTGCAAGGAACAGGGATTTTTTTTCTTTTCAAAAAGTACTCCACTTCCTTTTAGACCTTTCACAAATATTTTTGTAGGAGAAATAAGGAGAAAAAAAAAAACCCACAGAATGCTTGTCGCAGCTACTCACTTCCACCATGAATCACAGACACAAAACCACAGCTATGTGGCTAGCAAAGCAACTATGTGTTTTCACATTTCATTATTGGGAATCATTTAGCAATCTTCCCGGTGTCATCTGCAGACAGATAGACACAGACAGACGAATACACCCCTCTGGGTCCCAAGCAGCCTCATACAACACAGTCATCAGATGACTTTGCAGTTAATCCATTTTCCCCTTCTAATCCTTTTCTGGGAAATTATCCTGCCAGGTTTAAATCTTCCCCTTTAGCCCTTCTGCAGAGGTGGGGTGTGTGTGTGTGTGTGTGTGTCTGTGTGTGTGTGTGTGAGAGAGAGAGAGAGAGAGTGTGTGTGTGTGCATGCGCCATGACAGGGGGAGGAGGAGGAGTGCCGAGACACTGATTCAGTTAATTTCACAAGTGGAAACAAGTGTATGTTTCAGAATGCCTCCCTTTTTTTTTTTTTTAAACTGTGATCATACTTTGCTAAAGTTATTTTCACCTGGGAAGCTCACAGTGCCTTTTCTGACCGTGGCAAATTAATTAACTGATGGCAGATTTAAAGATGGAGTAACTGGAAAAACTACCGGACCCATAAATCAGAAACCTCCTTTATGTCCTGGACAAGAGGTGAAACCTGATACATATTTGAAAAACTTGAGCTCAAAAGGAGAATTCACGGAGCCTGAAAAAATCTCCATTATGACTTTTGAGACATGTTCTCTCCACAGCTTCCACCCACGCCCCGCCACACACACACGCATACACACACATACCCCCGCAGAGGGAGACCCTCACTGAGTGAGCAGCCAGTTCTGTAAAAAGCAGCCGGATGGGGCGAACCTTCCCTGGGCCATCTGAAAAAGAGCTTTGCCAGTCTTTCCTCTCTTTTCTTGCTTCATTGCTCCCAGCCTCTTCCTTTCAAACAAAAATCCTACAGGATTTAAGTTGGCTAGATGCTATGAACATAGCTACAAGCTTGAAATGTTTATTGTCACTAGTTATTTTAAGTCCGGTGCTGGAAACTGTATACATTAACATTTTAATGAGGCCGAATGCTGCTCCAGGCTCTCACCGACTTCTGTAGTTTTCTGAAAAGACGCTGGATACCTTGCCTAACCCAGTACTCTGCAGTTTCCAAGCCAAGCTGGATGTTTCCGCACTTGCCTACGCTCACATGCCCTGGAGGCTGGTTCGCACAATGACTATAATCACAAGTTCTGAAGTCGAGGAGAGCTAGGCTGGAATCGCCCTTACCCTCAGTGTCCTCATTGCAAAGTGGGAGTCATGGGAATACCCTCCTCACAGGGTCATGGCAAGGACTGGCAAATGTGCTGAAGATCTTCCACTTGCCCCTGGATCCCTCTCCATCCCACTCTGAGTCCTGGGAGATTCCTTTGCCCTCTGCCTTCTGGTCCAGTTCCATCAGTGGGGAACTGTGGCAGGAGGTCAGAGGGCAGGAGAAGGGTGAGTGGAGGTGCAGATCCTCCCAGCTCCCTCGCAACAGGTACTGCAGGTGAGCAGTGGCTGCATTCCTCCACCAGAGGCCGCAGCCCTGTCCATGGCCCTCTCCTATAGCCTGAGCTACCCTGGGTTCTTATGACTGCTGGTCCCTTGCCCCTTTAGACCTGGAGGGTAAGAGCTTGCCTACGTAACTACCCTGGGATACTCCACCATTATTCATTGTTTTCTCTTGACTCTGCCAGTGCTTTTGTAAATAAATACATCGAGTGTGCCATCCCTTTCCTGCTGGAACTCTAACTGACCCAGACAAGAAAAAGTATTTGCTATCGAGTACTGAGCACTTACCTATGTGAGCCGGCACTTTATCCACATTCCTTTGTGTTATTCTGACCACAGCTCTGCGCAGCCAGTATTGGTATCATCAGTCTTTCACATTGAGACTCGGGGAGGTGAAAGAACACACTTGATAGCACGACTGGGGAGTAACCGAGTCAAGTGGAACCGGGATCTGTCTGACTCGTGGCCCATGCTCTTAGCCACTGTGCCGAGCTGTCCCCAGTATTAAATTAGGTGGTGCCTGTAAACTGTCAGCTTATTCAATAAGGCTCCATCAATGGTGGGTTAGAACAACAACCACACATACAATCGAAAACACCCACAGTCCTAAATGTTACTTTAGCATAACCCTAACCCAACCCTGACCACAATCCTAAGATTAAAACCTCACCCTAATGCTGCACTGCTAAAGTTATTCCTCTAATCTTACCCTAACCACTACCGTACTGTTAAATAGAATGTCACCCTAACCACAACCTTAGTGCTAGTCAATCTTAACCCAAACTTCCGCCATGGTAACCATAATTCTAAGCACACCACTAAGGCCATGATGAGCTCTGGGGAACCTCTGCACCCCTGTGCTCCTGGGTGCTGGTCCCTGTGCTATGCCATTTATACTCCACTATTTGGACACGACACAATTGACCAAAAGACATTTGTACAACATCCATGTCCTGCATGTCACTGAGCTGGTGACTCTAAAGTGGGGACAGCAAGGAGGAAAAGAATAGGGTAGGAATCTAGCACAATGCCTGAAACACAGCAGGGTGCAATAAATCCTACTGATGATGAAGATGATGATGATGAACTGGAAAAGGTAGCTTTCCCCATCACCGAACTGTAGGCTCTGGGAGGACAGAAGGTGAATAGCTCGTATCTCAGAGATTTGTTTAGGGCTGGACCTGGGGCAGGGCTGGGAGGAGTCCTCTCCTGAAACCAAACCCAGGATGCGGTCCATATATTCCTCAGCTCTGGGAGAATACTAAAAAAGGGAGTCACTAGGTTGTCATCAGAGAGTTTGAGATCTTCTTGGGCCAGATGTCCGCCTTCAGGCTCAAATGGGAGAAGGGGGAAGGTAGGAGGAAGTGTGTAGAAAGCAGACACCATTTCCCTTGAATCTGCCCAGTGCCCCATGTGGGGAGAAGGCGGGGCCTCCTCCCCTGAGCACTCAGAGGCCTGAGCTCGGCATCCTCACCAACCCAGAGATGTCTGCTCTGTGCCCAGCATGAGAAAAGGAAGAGGTTGCCGGCTTTATCACGCAGAAGAAGGAAGGCACACTGGCCCCCACCTTCCTCACAACCTCTCCTGGGACTTCTAGGCTCCGGATCAAAGCATAGCTAGACCGTGTGCCCTGGGCTACATCTGCCCAGAGCTGGAGTCTTTTTATCATCCCACACCTGTACCCCCTAAGGCCAGCCGTGGCCTGCTCAGGGCCTGACCTCCATGGATCTCAGGTATTTGTGTGGGTTGGAGAGATGCACGTTAACACTACAAAGGCCCAGAGATCCATCCCCCTTTCAGGGGAACCTCGAAGGGACCTCAACAGCCAAACCCAGCTGGAAAGGACGGCCTTGAAGCAATACACTTTGTAAGGGAAATAGGAGACATCTCTCTCCTTCCCAGAAAGAAGCCAGGTCTAGTATCACCACATACAGCTGCACAGGCTGTGCACTGCACAACTCTTGGGTTACCTGTCACAGAGACTATAATGTGAAGGACAACCCCTGGTGTTGTGTCCAACAGCTGAAAGGTCCAATGCAGAACAGCAGGCGTCCCTCCCCTGCCTGGCTGGAACACAGTGCCTCAGACCCATCTGGCCACTCCAAATAGTCTCTGCTGGACAGGGATGCACTGGGGCTGGCAGAGGTTGAGTGCCAAGGGACCCTCCACAAGCCTTAGTGTGGCCCATCCACATTTCTAGAACCTACCCTCTGCAACAGCAGGGAGATGGGGCGTGGGTGGTGAAGGAAGTTCTTGGCTGAGACAAAGGTCTCTTCCCACTCTCCTCAAAAAGCATGAGCAGGGCTTCTGCACCCTCAGACTTGGGAAAATAAAATCTCTTCCATTGGATCTGGCTGGAGGCCTACAGTGAGCATTCCCCTTCTTCCTAACCCCTCTGAGCCCTCCCTCTTCCAAACCCACAGCCCCAGGGAAGGGGAGTCATGGGGGCTCTTCTAAGGCCCAAGAGATGGAAGAAACCAGGAGGAGCCTCCTTTACAGCTGCCACAACCCCCTGTCCAGACTCTCAGCACTCCTGAGGGTCTGTCAAGCCCACTCTCCCTGCCCTCAGGGGAGAGGCATTGCCCTCAGTTTGCCTGGCTTCCGACTCCCAGGGCCAAGGGGCACAGGGTGAGGAAGCACCACCTGTTGGGAGGGCTGGGAGAGCCCCTCCATGTCAGTGACTTGCTAGGGGATGGCCCGAGCATCAGCTCAGAAGGAAATGGCCCTGAGACCATCTCTCTGCTCTAGGAAGCAACAGAAGATGCGTTAGGACAGGGGTGTCCATTCAGTGGATATTTAGTTAGTGAGGGCCTGCTATATCCTGGGCACCATTCTAGGAGCTTGGGATATGTCAGTGAACAAAACAAAGATCCCTGCTCTTGAGGAATATAGTAACTGGGAAAAATGGATTATATACCAATGTAATAAATAAGTAAATTATATGCTACGTTAGAAAGTGGAAAATAGAAAGTACTGTGGAAATAAAAAGTGAGCCAGAGGAAAGGACTCTCAAGTTGAGGTTTGAAAATATTAAATATTGGAAAAATGGGAGACATCTCCTTCTAGGGAAGAAGCCAGGTCTGGGGTCACCACATACAGCTGCATACGCTGTACACTGTACAACTCTTGGGGTACCTGTCACAGAGAGTATGATATGATGGAAGGACATCCCCTGTTGTTGTGTTAAGATGGACACAACAGGGGATGTCCTTCCCTAAGCTTAAAATTAAAAGATTTCCTCTAAACTATTTCCTCAAGGGCCTCATTAAGGAGCTTCTTCCTAAAAGTGGCTTCTGTACATATACCAGGCATGAGCAAATACCCAAGCCCAGTGTCAGGACAGCTAAAAAGTAATAACAAGCATTTGCAAGGCATGTTAAAACTCACAAAGCAATCTTTCACACACGTCTTAGTTAATTCTCACAACATCCCAGTGAGGGGAGAATTAACCCTCTCATTTTACAGAAAGGGACATTAATGCTTAGTGATGTTAAGTGGCTTGCCCAAGGTCACAAGGCCAGTTAGTAACTAAGAGGCCAAAATTGGGTTTACTGATTCCGAGTCTATTCAAAATAGTTTTCAAGGTCCTAAGTGTTGGGGGAATTCCAGAAAAACCCAAGGAGCAATTTTGGGAATCAGAGTTATACAAACAGGTCAGGAAAAAGAAAGAAAAAAAGGCTAAAAAAAGAAAAGAAAGAGAGAGAAGGGCTCAACCCTCGGAGGCCACCACAGATTTGTAGGTTTGAGTTAACCCCGCAGAGAAAGAGAACTCAGTGGCCATGAGGAAATGGGTGACACAGCACAGAAGATGCAGGCTGCTTAGCCCTCTGCAGGCTTGCCAAGGTGTCAGGGACAGCGAAGGTCTGCCCTGGTGAGAGGCTCACATGTTCTTGTCACAACCTTGGAAACAGGCAAAGGGGAGAATGAGCACATTTCACCATTAGGGATGGAAGATGGCCAGGCTGGCCGGAATCCTAGACCATTATCTCTTTTTTTTTTTTTTTTTTTCTTGAAACAGAGTCTCACTCTGTTGCCCAGGCTGGAGTACAGTGGCGCAATCTCAGTTCACTGCAACCTCTACCTCCCAGATTCAAGCCATTCTCCCATCTCAGCCTCCCAAGTAGCTGGGATTACAGATGCCCACCACCATACCCAGCTAATTTTTGTATCTTTAGTAGAAATGGGGTTTCCATGTTGATCAGGCTGGTCTTGCACTCCTGACCTCCAGTGATCCGCCTGTCTCAGCCTCCCAAAGTGCTGGGATTACAGGCATGGCCAGCGCGCCCAGCTGACCATTAGCTCTTGAGCTTAGAGGAGATCCACACTAGCCCTCTGATTTACAAATGCGGGAACAAGCCCAGGAAGGGCAGAAGATTTTCCCAAGGTCTCCGAGCACACGTTGGTCTTCTGGCACGTCACAGCTGAATCAGAGAACAATCTTGGGTCCAAGGGACTTGAATGAGAAGGAAGAAAGACAAAGAGGGGGCCACGTAGCCCAAAGGAACAAGCAGAAGGCCCGCAGCAGCACACAGAAGCCCAGAGGGGAGGGTGGCAGCGGTGGGAGGGGCTGGAGCAGGAGCCAGGCTCAGAAGGCCAGGGCAGGCCTTCAGGTGGGCCCACAACCTAGTGGCCAACCTGCATCCTGCCTCAGTTTCCCCAGCTATAAGCCCAGACAGTGAGGTGCAGAAAAACTCATCCTGGCAAATGAGGTGTTCCACACTGATCTGTCATAAGCACATGGAGTAGGCAGGTAGGCCAAGAGATTTCAGGTTTATTGGACCGACTGTGTGGCAGACACCCCGCGAATCGTGCTACATTATTTCAGTAAATTCTCCCAACCATCGTAGAAGATGGACATTCATTTTCCCACATCAAGGTCAAAGAAATTGAGTTTCAGGGAGGTAAAGGGGCTTGCAAAGTTTGTGAGGGCATCAGGATTTACATTCTGCCTAACACCAAATTTAACCCCCCTGCCCCGGGCTCCCCTGACACACACACTGGGCCACCAGGCACCCTACTCATGTCCCCTCATCCAGCCACCAGACTCTAATCCTCAGGGCACCCAGCACTGCCCCAGTCAGAAACTAGTCTGCACTCCCCCATAACAGTGCCACACGGCCTCCTTCCTGCCAGCCAAGCCTGAACCCGCCTCTAGGTTCACGATATCATCAGCAGACCTGTCCACAACAGCCCTGCAGGGAGCCTTGTCCTGTGTCCTCCCTGACCCCAACCCCTTTGCTGCTGGCACTGGGGGAAGGGGACACAATTTACAAGCTGCCACACTGAGGTCCCCAGGCTGGGTGTCTGTTCCCAGCCACTCTGTTCCTGGCACCTAGGCTTTTTGTTTGTTTGTTTTCGAGACAGAGTTTTGCTCTTGTTGCCCAGGCTGGAGTGCAATGTCGTGATCTTGGCTCACTGCAACCTCTGCCTCCCGGGTTCAAGCAATTCCCCTGTCTCAGCCTCCCAAGTAGCTGGGATTACAGGCGCCTGCCACCATGCCTGGCTAATTGTTTGTATTTTTAGTAGAGACGGGGTTTCGCCATGTTGGCCAGGCTCGTCTCGAACTCCTGACCTCGGGTGATCCACCCACCTCTGCCTCCCAAAGTGCTGGGATTACAGGTGTGAGCCACTGCGCCTGGCCCCAGCACCTAGTTTCTGATTCTGCCTCGTCACTGGGAAAACCCCTTGCCATTTTGTCAACCAGGGGGTGCTGCCTTCCCCGCACCTTTG
Source organism: Homo sapiens (assembly GCF_000001405.40). Classification (NCBI taxonomy): domain Eukaryota; kingdom Metazoa; phylum Chordata; class Mammalia; order Primates; family Hominidae; genus Homo; species Homo sapiens. The sequence continues at coordinate 74,579,246 of NC_000014.9, forward strand.
CCCCTAGGAAGGGATGCCTGGGTCTCCCCGGCAGTGGCTCTGGGGCAGCAATCTTTTGATAGTTCCCTCCGTTCCCTCAGACTTAGAGAGACCACCGACTTGGGAGCAGAGTCCCTGTGCTCCCAACAGGAAAGTTAGTCAAGGTCTTGGGTGGAGGCAGGCAGCACTGCCACGGGAAACCCGTGGGCTCACTCTCAGTGCAGTAGGTTAAAGGTCATGCCAATCACTCTCAGCATCAGTAGGTTAAAGGTCATGCCAAAAAGTGCCAACAGGGCTCCTGTGGAGCCGTGGAGGCTGAGGCAAGGCAGGGTTCTGCTCTGAGGTAGGGAGCCTCTGCCCAGGTGACCACCCACATGCAGGCACATGCTGCCATACGCTCCCAGCAGTCCTGGCACTCACCACCTGAGGTTGGACCTCCAACAAGAGCTGCCCTGGTGCCCTGGCCCTTCCCTGTCTCCCCACGGACAAAAACTCAGAGAGATTAGTGCAGGCAGAGGACAGGTGCTGGAAATACCAGGCTGGGAAGGGGTAAGGACAGGCTACCTCCCCTCTCTGAGCCTCTCCTCACCAACAGAACGGCAACCCTGGCCACCTGTTGTAGGGAGTTGTGAGATGTAAAACAAAATGGATGTAGACAGCCGATTGTAGACGTAAAGCAAAATGGGTGTAGACAGCTAATTGACTCAACCATACTCTGGGCATGTATTTACTCAATGCTACAATGGGCTGAGTCATGCTCGAGGTGCTGGAGAGATTTCTGCCAAGAAAAGAGAGAAAAACCCCTGTCCTCCCACATCTGACGCTTTCTTGGGGTAAGAAGAAGAAGAATTCAAATAAATAGGTAAAATACCTAAGACGTTAGTGTTGCAGAGAAAAATGCCAGGTGGGAGGTGGGGAGGATGTGGAGGGCATGGTTTTAGATGTGGTGGACAGAGAGGGCCCCACTACAAAGGAAAGGGGAGAAGAAGCCACGGGAGTGTGAGGGGAAGAGTGTTTTGATGCGGGTTGAATTGTGTCCTCATGAAGACGTGAGTCCTAACCCCGGACCTATGAATGTGACCTCGTTTGGAAATAGAGTCTTTGTAGATGTTGTTAGGTTTAGATGACTTCACACTGGATTAGGGAGGACCCTAAATCCAATGGCTGAACCCTTATAAGAAGAAGACAACACAGAGACACACAGACACACACAAGGAAGAAGGCCACGTGATGACTGAGGCGGGGTCAAGGTCATGCAGCTACAAGCCAAGGAAGGCCAAGGATTGCCAACAGATATGCTAGCAGAGAGGCACAGAACCTTCTCCCTCAGAGTCTCAGAGGGAACCAATCCTGCCACCTTTATTTTTGGACTTCCAGCTCCTGAGCTATAAGAGCATAAATTTCTGCTATTTTAAGCCACTCAGTGTGTTATGGAAGCCTTAGAAAACTAACACAGGGGCCAGGTGCAGTGGCTCACGCCTGTAATCCCAGCACTTAGGCCAAGGCAGGAGGATCGCTTGAACCCAGGAGTTGGAGACCAGCCTGGGCAACATGGTGAAACCACGTCTATAAAAAAATACAGAAATTAGCTGGGTATGGTGGTGCACACCTGTAGTCTCAGCTACTTGGGAGGCTGAGATGGGAGGATTGCAAGAGACCAGGAGGTCGAGGCTGCAGTGAGCTGTGACACTACACTCCAGCCTGGGTGACAGAGTGAGACCCTGTCTCAAAAAAAAATAATAATAATAATTCCAGGGCTCCAGGGAGGGGGATAGCAAGTGCCAAGGCCCTGAGGTGGGAGCATCTCCAGCACATTTGAGGAAAATACAGTCAGCTGGCAGAGCAGAAGCAGGATGAACACGGGCTGTGAGTGGTGAGGGTGGACACTGGGGATGTCAGACAGGCTTTGGGGCCAGATCACATAGGGCCACCCTTGTGGCAAGCCCTTGATAAGAGGGAGCTCTTCCACTTTGGACAAGGGTCCCAGTTGGAATGTGCTGTAGTGAGTGGGTGTGGTTGGCCCCCATGATCTCTGTTCCTGGGGTTACACCTTTGAATATGTTATATTAAATAGCAAAAGGAAATTAGGGTTACCGATGGAGTTAAGGTTGCTAATCAGTTGACCTTAAAATAGAGAGATGGTCCTGGATTATCTTGGTGGGCCCAGGGTCATGACATAGGCCCCTAAAAGTAGAAGAGGGAGGCAAGGGAGTGAGTCAGGGAGACAGACAGCCAAAGAGGCAGGCAGAGGGGAGATCCAAACATGGAGTCCACCTGCTGCTGCTGGCCTTGAAGATGGAGGAAGGTGGCCTCAAGCCAAGGAATGAGGGCAGCTCCTGATATGGCCCTCAAGTGACAGCTAGCAAGGAAATGGGGCCTCCGTCTTACAATTGCAAGGGACTGAATTCTGCAGATAACCTGAATGAGCGAGGAAACCGAGCCCCCCTAGAGCCCCAGGAGCCTGCTGACACCTTGATTTCAGCCTGGTGAGACCCGTTTCAGATGTGTGACCTATACAACTGTACAGAAATAAATGTGTGTTGTTTTAACCTGCTAATTTTGTGATCGTGTGTCATGGCAGCCATAGAAAACGAATACAGTGGATAAAGAGGTGGGGTGTGCAGAGAGGAAGAGATCCAGAGGAGAGGGAGCGACCAGGCAGGAGCAGCCTGCTGGAAGCCACCACCACAGGGTCACAGCTCCCCAGACACACCCCAGCCACCCCACTCAGGGCTCAGCACTGCCTTCAGGCCCCTTGTTGCCCATGTTGTGACAAAGCCTGCCTAGGGTTGTTGTTTTTTTTTTTTTTTTTGAGATGGAGTTTCACTCTTGTCACCCCAGCTGGAGTGCAATGGTGCCATCTCAGCTCACTGCAACCTCCACCTCCTGGGTTCAAGTGATTCTTCTCAAGCCTGTGTAGGATGTCTCCAGGGCTCAGCCTCTAGGTCCTCAGGTCTAGAGCAAACCCAGTGGAGGTCCCTCCCATTCTTGACACCTCCCCTTAACCTCCTCTTCCCTAGGGCTGGTGACAATGGTCCTGGTGGAATAACTGTATCCCAAGCCAGCCAAAGCCACTACTGGACCTGCTGACCACTGAGGCTGAGTCTGGGCTCTGATTTCTTCCCAGAACAGGTCTACACCTGTTCTGTGTACATGCACACACACACATACATACACACACACACACACACACACACACACACACACACTCCAGTTTCCTCTCTCTGCTTGTTGCCACCTCCTCCCATCCACCCAAGTCCTCACAGCAAAGAGATCCTGCCCATTGACAGCTATCATGTATTGAACACTAATTCATATCAGGCACCACACTAAGTGTTCTACTCACATGGTCTCATTTAATCTTTCCTGTCATCCTATCAGGTGGACACTATTGGCTCAGAGAGGTTAGGATGAGTGCCTGTTAACACACAGCTGGTGAGTGCTAAATCCAGAATTAGAATGCACCAAAGCCCGGGCTCTAACCCTCACTACTCAAAATATGGTCCGTGGCCCAGTAGCATCAGCATCCTGTGGGACCACGTTAGAGCTGATCATCCTAGACCTGCCGAATCAGAACCTGCATGTTGACAAGTTCCCAGGTGACTTACCTACTGGTTTCAGTTTGAGAAGTGCTGGTCTAAACCACTGCTTTCCAAAGCCTGCTGGTTGCAGGTTCCTGTAACCAGCCCTCTCCCATCTCTCCAGGCCCTTCCCAGCTGCCTGGCTTTTGATCTCCAGGTGAGGCAGGTACTCTGCCCAGCCTTGGGGAAGAAGCCAGGACATGAGGCTCAAGGGAGTCTCCAGGCCCCTCCAGTCAGCCCAGACAACAGCTGGACAGCATCAGTCCACATCTGGCCCTCTGTAGGGCACCCTGCCTGCTGCCTGGGACACTCCTGGCCTCTCCCTCTGGTCTTCCTCCAGGACACAAGTCTCTCGGTCTCTGCCTGCTCTCCTAAAGAGGGCCTCTGGCCATCACCAATCCCTGCAGTGTTCCCCTCCCCAGACATTTCCCTCCCCAACTCCTAGAATGCCCCCTGTGTCATGTCACCACCTCTATCTGGACACACAGGGCTTGTCCAAGTTGCTATCAGGAGAGAGGCCAGCAACTGCTTGAGAAACCTGGCCAAGGTCACAGGAAATGTCTGACACCACCAGGCAAGCAGGATTTGGCCTCCTAAAGCAAAACACAGCTGGGCCAGCAGCTGGGCCAACAGTAGGGCACTCCCAGATTTCATGGCATTGAGGCCCCAGGGCACAGAGAGACTAGGCTGGCCTGGAGGCTGCAGCTCATTAAGAACATCACAGTAGCCCCTGGCCAGGGAGCCTGTGAAAGTCAAAGAGGACAGCCCTGCTGTGGGCCAGAGACCTCACCCAGGACCTTGGCCCTCCACTGCCTGTCACACACAGGAAACCTTCACTGGGGGATAGAAGGCTCACACTGCCCATCCTCCTGGCCTTGCAGCCTCCCCTCTCCCCATCACCTAGCCTCATTTATTTATCCATTTAACTTACACTGATTGAGCACAGAAGTGTGCCAGGCATGGTGTTAGGTACCAGGGACACAATTTTGAATGAGCAGAACACAGTCCCTGTGAGCTCCCGGGTAGCTCCTGGTCCAGTGAGCAAATGGACAGATCATCTGAAGGCAGGGTGAAAAGTGCTGCGCTAGGGAAAAATGGAGAACCCACCATGGGAACCGGCAGGGGCCTCACCTCCTCCTGCCCTCTGAGCAACACATGGGGTGGTGCCCTTGGCTGCAGGTACAGCTGAGGGTTCAGCGCCAAGTAGGCCCTTTTGTTAGGCTAACTGTAGTTTGGACCCAGTGTCAGAGCAAATATGGACTGAGCATTTTTGATGGGCCAGGCACTATGCAGGGGGGCTGTAGAGAAATCCAGAGCACAGGCCACTGGGTCTACAAGCAGCTGGGGGTGCAGGGCGCAGATGCATGCCAGAGAGTAAGTGCTGCAGGGGCCAGAGAGCCTAGTGAATGTGATTCACCTTGAAGAATGGGGAGGAGTCAGACTGGTGGGAAGATGCAGCAGGGGACTTCAAACGGCTCTGACTCAAGATTCAAGAGTGTGAGAGGCAGAGTGACTTGCCCAGCAACCCCTGCTCCTAGCACACACCTACATGGGATCAGTGCATCATAAATAAATGAATCCCACAAGCCAAAAGAGATGGGGGAAGCTCTGCTGGAAGGACTCTGTGCCCACCCCTGCCCTGGCTGGCCCTTGAACTGGCACCTCTAGTATTCCTCCAGGTGCCTTACACCAGGCTTACCACCTAGGACCCTCAGCCAGGACCGATCAGAACAAGGCACCGGCACTGCCCACCTGCTCACTGCCAATCCCAGGCCCTCATTGTTATCCACCTGGGACCCTTAGCTCTGCTCCTTGTTTCTGCTGCAGCACCCCTGGGCCTTGGCTGCAGGGTTTGGCTCTTTTGCTCTTGACCTTGGAGTTCCCTAGGCCCTTGACCTGAGTCCATCCTTTCTTTCTTCCTGCTCCTAGCTGCCCTTGGAAAACATCTGCTTGGGTGACCAGGGCCCCGGAACCCAGCTCACCAAGATCCTGGTCCGCCTGACCTCACCCACTCTCAGAGTTCCTGGACACCCTCAACCTCCTTTCTTTGCTCTCCCTCCAACTCAGCCAGTCTCTCCTAACCTTTCCTGCTGGAACCTAACCTCAAGGTCGGCCTCCTCTCCCTGGTTCTCCTGGGCTCTGAAAGAGCAAATCCTCTTTCCCTTTAGTTCAGCAAGGCAAGGTTGCAACATTTCAGAAAGAACTTCTTAAGCAGAAAGCGAATGGAAAAACTAACCTGAAAAACGAAAAGGAAAACACAGTCCCCTAGAAATGGACTCGTTTATAAAGTTCAGATTTCCTGTCCTGAGCTAGAAAAAGTCTAGCCAGATGGGCTGGCAAGCAGGCCAGGGAATCCTGCCCATGAACACTCCCCTTGTTCACTTTTCTTTCTACTCCCTTCTCCCACATGCTCCTTCTTCTCCCCTCTAAGGAGAGAGGCTGAAGCTGGGTGCCGAGGAAACCGAAGGGTCTTCTTCTGGCAGAGGAGTCCTTCCTACATCACAGGGACCACAGGCAGAGGAGGAGGAGGTCAGGATGGGGTGTGGGAGAACAAGTATAAAGAGCTTCCATATGTGCCAGGCACTGTTCTAAGCACTTTCTTTATATTGACTAATTTAATCTTTACGACAATTCATAGCACAGGTATTATCATTGTCCCACCTTACTGATGCAGAATCCGAGGCACAGAGAGGTAAGTGACTCGCCTGGGGTGGCCCACCTGGGAAATGGCAAAGCCAGGCTGTGAACCAAGAAGCCGTGGTCCCAGGTACACGCCCTCCTCAGCTTTCTTTCAGGCACTCGAGGGCAAAGACTTCGCTTCCCTCCTCCTCTTCCCACCCCAGGCTGGCAAAGCCCATGCCAGCCCCAACACCTACTCTCCTGCTCATATCTCTGGCCATGCCAGGGAAAGCCAAGGAGGGTGGGGAGGAGAGAAGGGAGGACTCTGCGGCCTTCTCCACCAGCCTTCACCAAACGGTCCAAAGGAAGAAGCCCCTCCAAAAAGAGACTGAGCCCCAGACCCCAAGCCCCATGGAGAAGGGGACTTACCCAGCTGGTGGCGACTGTGGTGCGGGCGGCGACTGTGGTGCTGGCGGCTGTGCTCTGGCCAAGGTGCCCTCTCCAGCCGCACTGCTCCTGCGCAGGTTGGGTGAACGCTCGGCCCAGCGTCGAGGTGCCAGCCTGGAGTTCTGGGGGTCAAATTCCTCATCGGGAATGACCTCCTCGCAGCGGGCTCCACGGAAACCAGAGCGGCAGACACAGAGCTGCGGGCGGCTGCAGGAGCCCCGGTTCTGGCACGGCGGCTCGCAAACGGCTGAGGACACAGGGAGAGAGGTGACAGCAGTGGCCATAGGGCACTGAGACCACAGCTGCCCACACCTTCCTGTCAGAAGGGCCCTCCTGAGTGCTGCAACCCTGTCGCTCAAGCAGGAAGCCACTCTCCTGGCCTCAGGGGGCTCCCTGACCCATGTCTCTCCCACCTCCATCCACAGACCCCCAGGACTTGTTCACCTCTGATCTCTGGACAACCAAAGACTATATGGCCAGCTGCAGAGTGGCTCACACCACCACGTCCCACAGCACACCCTGAAGAGGAAGTGCACTGCCTGACACTGTGTCTATACTGAAATGTTCACTCCCACCAGACTGGAAGCCCCCTGAGGACAGACAGCGGCCCCGGAACTTTGACTAGGGATTGCCACAGAGTAGATTCTCAGTAAACATGGAGCGAATGGATGAATGAATCAGTCTCTTTTGCGGGAAAGGGCCCAACACTGGCCTGAAATTCAAGCGGTTTGAGTTGCTGGGGTTTTCCTGTCACTTGTGAGCTGCATGGTCTTGACTTCACTGAGCCTCTATTTGCGCCTAAATCACGGGAGGGGTGAACTAAGGAGGCTGGAGGACTCTAAGGGTCCTTCAAAGGCACCTTCAGCTTGACGGTCTCTCCTCTCCTTCCCATTGTTCTCCATCTCCCACCCTCCTTAGCAAGGCAGAACTCTCGACTGCGGCCAGAGAAAGCACGGTGGCCAGAATATAGCTGCCGGCACCACAGCCGCTGCCGGCCAGGTAAGTGCCCCGCTCTGTGGGGCCTCTGTTCAGGCTCAGGCTCTCTCTGGATTCTGCCTCCTGGGCTGTGGGTCCAGCCGGAGGCAAGGTGGAGCTGAAACCAGGCCCTCCTCCCGGTTAGCCCTATGCAGCATTAGCCACCAGCTCCCCAGGCTGACTCCTCTCTTCACTGTCCTTCACCCCCTTGCAAAGTCCAGAGCCACATCCCATGATTAATGGCCAAGGGAACATTCCACGCAGAGGCACACACTGGGATATGGAGTCCGGCCCCTCCCCCACCAGGACCTCCACTGGGGAACACATGTGAGCCCCGGAAGCATGGTCTGGCTCACACCGCACCCTCGAAACCCAATGCCTCATCCATCTGTCGCTCATTCATTCAACAAATAGCTGTTGAGCCCTAGTGAATGTCAGGCACTGGGACAAAGTCCTTGTCCATCTGGGGCTTGCGGTCGAGTAAAGGACACCAACAGGAAGCAAGAAAACAATAGCATGATGTGGCCTCAGGCAGTTTCAAGGGCTGTGAAGACAACCCAGGTGATGCAGGGGTCCAGGCCGAACCAGGAGACTCAGATGGGGCGGCCAGGGCACCTCTCTGAAGAGAGAGATGGGAGCGTGCAAAGGAAGCGAACCCCCAAAGACCTGGGCAGTTTCCCAAGCAGAGGACGAGGCGAAGACCAGGCTGTGGAGGCTGGAAGGAACGTGGCATACTCGAGAAGCCGCCAGAGACCCAGGAAGGCCAGGGTCTGGTGGCGGAGGAGGTGTAGGCAAGGTCAGTGAGGAAGAGGAGGCAGATACACAGACCCTGTCATCTCAGGGATCCTAAGGGCACCTGTGAAACTACCAGGCACAGCTACCCAGAGCAGGTTCCTGGGTTTTGTGAGCTGAACTCTCCTTTCTGAGAAGAGTACCAGAATCCAAACCAGGGGCTGGCCGGGATAAACATCTCCAAAATTCCACCTGGCCCATGTCACAGAGACCTTCAATGGCTCCCTGATGTCTTCAGGATTCAAGTCCATAGACGAGCGCTGAAGACCCTCCTGGTCTCATCCCCTCTAACATTCCTCTAAGCCAATGTGCTCCAGCCGAGCTGGCCTGCTGGCTGTGGCCCCAGGTAGCCTCTGCTCTGTCTTCTCTCTGTCTTTGCATGTGCTATGTCCTCTCTTCTTTCCCACTTGCTCTCCATTTACCTGGCTCCTACTGTTCCCTCAAGACCCACTTCCCCATGCTGGACACCCACCTCTCAGCAGCTGCTCCCTCCTTTGATTAACAGGAAAAACACTTGTCGTGTTTGCCATTCACTGGGCGTGCCCTGCATACTGCCATTAGTTTTTGTTGTTGTTGTTTTTGTTTTTTGGGTTTTTGTTTTGAGACGGAGTTTCACTCTTGTTGCCCAGGCTGGATGCAATGACGCGATCTCGGCTCACCACAAACTCCGCCTCCCAGATTCAAGTGATTCTCCTGCCTCAGCCTCCCGAGTAGCTGGGATTACAGGCGCCTGACACCATGCCCTGCTAATTTTGTATTTTTATTGGAGACGGAGTTTCTCCATGTTGGTCAGGCTGGTCTGAAACTCCCGACCTCAGGTGATCCGCCCACCTCGGCCTCCCAAAGTGCTGGGATTACAGGTGTGAGCCGCCGCACGAGGCCGCTGCCATTAGTTTTTTTATGCATGTGTCTCAATTTCCTGACTCATATAGTCAGCCCCTTGAAGTGTAGTGACTGTCTCTTACACCTCTTTGTAACTTTAGCTCCTAACATATGCCTAACAATAACATGATTATTATTATTTTTATTATGGCAGATACTGTCTGATGAGTGTGACAATAGGCCTGGCACCGTGCTCTGCATACACGCTCTCACTGAAGCCTCTCGACAATTCTATGCAGCAGGTGTGACTATGATTCCCATTTTACAGATAATGCTGCTGAAGCTCAGAGAGGTTAAGAGACTTGCCTGAGGTCACCCAGCTAGTTAATGGTGGAGCCAGGATTCAAATCTAGTTCTATGTGACTGAGAAGCCCAGGCTCTTTCCACCCCCACTGACTCCCAGAAGGGTGGGCATGGTTCTTCTTCTTCCTCTCTACTATTTCTGAGCCTTGGCCCAGAGCTGATAAGGAAATAAAGGGGATCTGTTGGCTTCAAGTCAGCCACCAAATGCACCCTTGGGAACTCTGCCCTGAGAAACTGCACATCTCAATTGGCCCTGACAGTGGAGACCCCAGGACCACACACCCTTCCAAAGCCCACACAGAATTTTTAAATAATGATGGAGGATGTACGTCATCTCATGGGCTTATCCAATGAGCATTCGTAGAGCACTCACTGGATGTGAAGCTTGTGATAGTGTCTCCAGCACACTGTCTGACACGGAAAGTAGAACACACAAGTTATATGACAAGTGCTATGTCAGCTGGACCCTCTAACCCAGGCTGAGGCAGGGAGTAGGGAAAGTCAGGGAAGGCTTCTTGGAGGAGGTGATGCTGACCAGAGACACAAAGGATGAATAAATTGGACATTGTGCACCAAGGGCACTCAAGACCAGTCTATCAGCAGAGAGCATGGGAAATAACAGGTTTTAATAGCATTCCAACCACAAGTTGGGCTCTGAGGCCAGAGCATTTTTCTTCATGCCCAGGCACCTCTTCCTGGCAGGCTCCAGGCCTCTAGGTAAAACCATGTCAGAGAATTGTAACCCAGAGCACTTCCCCAAACACAAACTGCCACCACGGCAGGATTTTGGCCTGGCCACCCCTCCATCTGCCCAAGCATACTTAGTCCCCACCTGACCACCTGCCAGGCCCCTGTCACCACCACCACTGGAAACATGGTCAGCTGGGGCCAGCCCAGCAGCCACGCCAGTGCTAGTGAACATGGAGGAAGCAGATGTGCCCAGGGCAGGTCTCGGCCTTGGGGTTTTTTTAGGGAGGGAATAGAATGGGAAGGCCTGAGTGATCTCCCACATGGACCCACACCTCTCTGCCACAGAGACCCAAAGCCCGGCGTGGGTGAGAGGAAGGTCATGCAGCTTCCACCTCTGAGTGTGTGGTCCTTGCCCCGAGGATGGCCTTTGGAAAACAGTCTAGCTTCCATCCTTCCCCTCCTGAGCCCTGAGAACAGCCCATCCTTCACATTAACAATAAGATCCTTCATACAACAAATATATGAAAAAATGTTCAACATCACTCGTCATCAGGGAAATGCAAATTAAAACCACAATGAGATACCACCTTATCCCAGCCAGAATGGCCATTACTAAAAAGTCACAAAACAATTGATGTTGGCACAGACATGGTGAAAAGGGAACACTTATACACTGCTGGTGGGAATGTAAATTAGTACCACCCCTATGGAAAACAGTATGGAGATTTCTCAAAGAACCAAAAGTAGGTCAACCATTCAATCCAGCAATCCCACTACTGAGTAAAGGCAAAGAAGTCATTCTATCAAAAAGACACCCGCACGTGTATGTCTACTGCAGCACAATTCATGATTGCAAAGATATGGAACCAACTTAATGCCCATCAACCAATGAGTGGATAAAGAAAATGTGGTGAACCCCATCTCTACTAAAAATACAAAAAATTAACCAGGTGTGGTGGCAGGTGCCTGTAATCCCAGCTACTCGGGAGGCTGAGGCAGGAGAATCACTTAAACCCAGGAGTGAGCCGAGATCGTGCTACTGCACTCCAGCATGGGCGACAGTGAGACTCTGCCTCAAAAAAAGAAAAAGAAAAGAAAAAGAAAATGTGATATATATATACACCATGGAATATTACTCAGTCATAGAAAAGAATGAAATAATGTCTTTTTGCAGCAACTTGGATGGAGCTGGAGGCCATTATTCTAAGTGAAGTAGCTCAGGAATGGAAAACCAAATACATGTCATCACTTACAAGTGGGAGCTAAGCTAGCTAAGCTATGGGTATGAAAAGGCATACAGAGTGATACAATGGACTTTAGAGACTCAGAAGGGAAAGAGTGGGAAGGGTTGCGGAAAAAAAACTACATATTGGGTAAAATGTACACTACTCCGGTGATGGGTGCACTAAAATCTTAGACTTCACCACTAAACAATTTATCCATGTAACCAAAAACCATTTGTACTCCAAAAGCTATTGAAATTAAATATATATATAAAATAAGATCTTTCACTGTCTAGAAATCCAAGACCCCAAACCCTGTGAGCCAAGCCCCTACGGCACACCACGACTCACTTAGCTCTGGTTCTGCCTTGCTTGCTAATAATACATTCCGAAAACATGTAGTGAGCACCTTATCTTGATCAGACTGGGTGCCGAGGCCAGAAAGGTGAACAAGACTGGGCCCTGCAGAGGGAGAAGCCCTGGCCAGTGGGGGTTCCCACATTCCTAGAAACCATTTTCCAAGCAGGGAATTAGGTCTTCAGTGAGGGTTAGGGCTGGCAAACTTTGGTTGGTACAATGAACAAACAGCTCATGGGAAATGAGTGGTTAGGGGGAACTGTGGAAATGGCATTTAGTATATAATAGCCTAGTAAATCAAGTTCTAAAAGGCTTCCAAACCAGCCAGACGTGTTGGTGGGAAAAATCCCCTCAGGAAGGTAACCCTTCTGAATTAACCATGTAGGATGCTGTGCAGAGGCCCAATCTGCTGAGGCAGAGCCTCCAAGAAGTTTCAGGTTTTTGGAGGTTTAGAACCAGCTCTCGCCGGCTTCACTCGCATCCTCTCTTGTTTTCACAAGTCTCGGCAAGATGCCTGGAACTACCTGGCTTCCTCACGGAAATTAAGCATTGTGTTTTGAGCTGAGTGTTTGCATTATGGGATTGAAGTATGTAGACTCCTCTCCTCTCTCTCCATTCCCCCAAAAGTCACCCCTAAATGGTCCATGATGGTGGCTTCCAGTGCCTGTCTATGAATGGGACAGTTCTGACAGTTTTTACCCATCTGCCATAAAGTCAGGAAAAGAAACACTTTCCTGGGTTGTTTCTTTTTCATAGGCTATATTTTTCCCATCTAAAGAGTGTCTTTTGAGATGATGTCTTTTCTACATTTTTGGAGTTAAAATGTTCTTTTTAATTAAAGGTGATGACAAGTGGTAATTAGTTTTGTTTTTTGTTTTTTCCTGATGGCTTCACTTGGAAAAATGAAAAGCTGGCCACTGCATGTTGGTACTTAAGATATTTTTGGAAACATTACTGATGCATGAAGTCCAGTGACCCTTCGGGAGGGAGGGGCAATCGTGGTTGTGTGTCCTTTTGTTTAAAGGAGACTGAAGTGAAACATTCCTATGCCAAATGAGCATGATTTCAAAACTTAAATATCCAAAAGGAAATCGGCCATCTCAGAATCTCCAGTGGCAGAGGCTATTGCTTAGAGCAAAGAAGGAAACGCTGAGGTCCCAGGAGAGGCAGTTCCATGCGGTGCTGTGGGAATTTTAAGAGAGAAAACCTCCATCCATGGTGGGCCAGCGAGTCTTCATGTTTTGCCCTTGGAGTTTGATGCCTCCAATTTTTCCTCAATAGTAGAGATCCTAGAGGTGGGTGCGGTGGCTCACGCCTGTAATCCCAGCACTTTAGGAGGCTGAGGCTGGAGGATTGCCTTAGTCCAAGGGTTGCCCAGCCTGGGCAACAGACCAGGCCTTATACTTATATATTTTGTAGAGTGGGACCCCATCTCTACAAAAAAAACTTTAAAAATTAGCTGGGTGTGATGGTGCACACCTCTAGTCTTAGCTACTTGTGAGGCTGAGGTGGGAGGGATCACTTGGGCTCAGGAGTTTGAGGCTGCAGTGAACCATGATGGTGTCAGTGCACTCCAGCCTGGGCAACAGACCAGGCCTTATACTTGAGAAATCAACCTAGTATGGGTTATGTGGTTCTAATGAATCTCCACTTGATTATTGGTCCGTTTATCAAGCATGATACCGCGATGTCCACATTTAGCCTGCGGGAGTTGATCTGCAGAAGACGGAATACCCCCCAGCCCCTGGGACAGTACCCTCGGACAACCGGAAGACTACACTGTGACGAAGCCTCCTCGCTTGCCAATGCCAGTCTCTAGCCATTCGTAATTTGGGCTCCTCCAGGACCCTTTCTTTTCCACACCCCCCTGGCCCGCTCTTCACTGAGCATTAGAGAGGTGGAAAGTCCCAGCTTTGGGTGTTCCGCTCTGTGGAGTCAGCAGGACGCCAAAAGAGGAAGAAAACTCCTGAAATTGCTTTAAAAGCAAGAAATAAAAGGCATTGTTCCCCTAATCTCCCCATGTTCCTAGCTGAGCCCCTTCTCCCTTCACTCCACCCCAGAACAGTCAACAGAGGTTTGCTCAGATTTTCCACACAAAACCCCTACTTTTGGGAAGGGACCAAACTCAGAATGGGCAGGCCTGGGAGAGATTCTAGAAACAGCCCCTCCCGACCACCCCATGCAGGCTGCTCCTACCATCTGCTCAGAGCCCCTGCTCATTGGCTACTGGGTAGTAGCAAGAACACGGGGTCGGGGGCAGGAGGATTGGTTTGGTTTGACCCCAGCTCTGCTACATCTCAGCTGCATGACCTTGGACACATGTCATCTCGCTGAGATGTCTCCACCAGTGTGCCAGTGGCCTCGTCCACGATATGGGGCTGATAATTCTTGCTTCAAAGAGCTGTTGTGAGTGTCAGCTGAGCACCTGGACGTGGGTGTACTTTGTACTCTCTAAAGCTGTGCTGTTCAAGAGAGTCTCACACTGTAGCCACGAACTGTATGTGGTTATTTAAATTTAAATGGATTCAGATTAAATAAAATTTAAAATTCAGTTCCTTCAGTCTCACAAGCCATATTTCAAGTGCTCGATACCCACATGTGGCTCAGGGCTACCACACTGGACAGCAAGATATAGAACATTTCCATCATCACAGGAAGTTCCACTGGCCAGCACAGCAAAGCCTAAAACAACAACAAAACTAACCACTCCCCCAGAGGCCAGATGGCCTCTGAGCTTCTTGGCTATGACCCTTTCCCCAGGAAAGGGCAATGTCAACTCAGGCCCTCAGGATAAAAATCCAATCTAGCTTATAGGGCTGTTGTGAGGATTAAAAATGAACAATATGAAGCGCTTAGAATGGTACCTGGCGCACAGTAAGAGCTATCACGTTCATATCATTCATCCCCAAAACCAACTCTATATAGATTGTTATGCCCATTTTATGGACGAGGCCCTGTGGCTAGAAAAGGCCCAGTCACTTGCCCCAGGACACAGAGCTGGGACTCAAACACGTCTCCAGGGATCAAGCCCTGGTTACAGAGATAAACAACCAAGGGCCATGGTGCTGGGTGGGGACTGCTTTCTAGGTGTCAAATATAGCCAGGCCCCTCCCCACTGCCACCCTACCCCCCGGGCAAGGCGTTTGTCATCGGCTCTCTCTCCTGGGCCCCAGAGACACCTTTGCCCTCCATCTATGACCCGTTAGATAGAGGAGGCACCAACTTCAGGGTGGGCCCCTTTAGCCTCTCCCTTCCTCAGTGGCTTCCAGTGCCACCCGCTCTGGTCTGGGGGAAGAACTTCAACTCCAGACTCTGGGCCCAGCCCCCCATTCCTGAAGCTCAGCTGCTTCCCAGGTTAAACCTCCATTTTCCCTAAAATCTGTGCCAGTGGGATGCTAAGACCCTATCCACTGAGCCACCCGATCCCCTCCTCAGGCCGGGGCCCTGTCCCCTTTCACAGCTAGAGGCCTTCGCAGACGGGACAGTTTGCACCTCATCCACAGTATTTACCTCAGACACCCCTGGGCATCCAACTTGGGACCCTCACCTGGAGACCTCAGTTTGTCCCTGGAATCTGCTTACTGGGGGGTCCACCTGTGGCCCTGAGCTGTTTCTCCACAACCTTGACTTTTGGTTTCCACAGGAAGGAGAGGGACCCTGATGTCAGAGATCCCCTAGCCCAGGGAATCCCTGTCTGGCTCACACCCACACTCGGAATCCACCCTCGGAATCCACCTCAGAATCGCTCTCTCCACTCTCAAGCTCTGCCCAGGGGCTGTGTCTCCCAGGCCCTGACTGAGGACCCGAGCCCCCAGGCTGTGGGAGAAGTCAGGGCCTCAGGGGCTCACCCAGCTCCCACACAGCTGTGCCAGGACCATGGCTCAGGACGGCTGGAAACTGCACTGGGGCTCAGGGGCCGGCCAAGTGCCCAGCTCCAAAATAGCAGTTGTGTTCGCATAAAACCTCCTAATGAGAGAAAGATGCCGTTCTTGGCCCCTCACTTGCTCTCTGCAGACGCTGTCTGGCAGACCAAGCGGGCCTCTACCGTTTGGGTTTGGCGGCTGGAGGGGAGGAAGGGGAGGTGTGAGTCAGACCTTGGCCCCCAGCCCTTCAGCATGGACCGCCCTGTTAATTGCATTAACAAATGCTGCAACACTGGGCCAGGTCAGGGCTGGGGAGCCGCGGGGCCAGGGGCTGGGGCAGAGAGCAGCCCCAATCCCACCGGCTCCAGCAGGCATGAGGAGGAAGACTCTGGGCCCAGCTCATGGCCCAGGGCTGAGAGGCCTAGGCTCCTCTCCAGCTGCTGCCCCAAAGCAGAGAAGAGTTGTCTGTCCATCCCCACAGTCCCAAGGCTTGTCTGGGAGGAAGCCTCAGTGCCAGAGGGGCCCCAGAGGTGAGACAGGCTGGGAGGGGTCCCTGGGGATGAGTCTTTTCCAGAGAAGCAGCTTCCAGGGGAGACAGTTCTAGGCTGGAGTGGAGCCAGCCATCCTCCCACAGCAGCACCAGCCCCGCGCCCAGGCCCAGGATGGTCGGGAAGGATGAGAACACCACCCCAAACACTGACAAATCAGAGAGGCCAGGGCAGGGGCATGAAGGACAGTTTGGCCCTGCAGTCGGAGACCCATGTTTGAGTTCTGACTGTGGGATCTCACCTGGGGCCAGTTTCATCACCTCTGTGAGCCTCAGTGTTCTTCTCTAGAAAACAGTAATGCATTCAAACGCACGATTTGCCAGGATGGCAAACAAGAGAGACTGTCCTTTTGGGGCTTACAATTTAGTCAGAGGGACTGTCACTCAATAGGTAAACAAAGAAGTGGAGCAGGATGGGCGTGGTTGCTCATGCCTGTAATCCCAGTACTTTGGGAGTCCGAGGCGGGTGGATCACCTGAGGTCAGGTGTTCAAGACCAGTCTGGCCAACATGATGAAACGTCTCTACAAAAATACAAAAATTAGTCAAAACGTCTCTATAAAAATACAAAAATTAGTCAGGCGTGGTAGCACACACCTGTAATCCCAGCTACTTGAGAGGCTGAGGGAGGAGAACTGCTTGAACCTGGGAGGCCGAGATTACAGTGAGCCGAGATTGCGCCACTGCACTCCAGCCTGGGTGACAGAGCCAGATGCTGTTTCAAAAATAAATAAATAAATAAATAAATAAATAAATAAATAAAAATTAAAAACAAAGAAGTGGAGCAGAACTTGGTACGTGAGGGATGGAGGAGACAGTCGAGGGCCCAAGATCCAGAAGAACAAGGCCGGTGGGGGCCACTCAAGCAAGAGTGGCCAGGGCAGCCCCTCTGAGGAGGACACCTCAAAACAGAGACTGGGTAGATGACAAGGGCCAGCCGCACAGAGAGATGACGGGGAGCAGACACAGAGGCAGCAGCATGTGCACCAGCCTAGAGGCCAGTGGCCCAGGCTGCACTCAGGGAGCTGGGTGAGTGTGGAGATGCCGCTGCAGGAAGTTTCAGGTGGGATGTGTTGAGGGCGGCAGGGAGAGCGGGCAGCAGGCTGTGGTATCACCCAGGAGAGCTGTGACAGGGCCCTGGCCCAGAGAGGCAGCAGGGAAGCAGGCAGGTCCACGAGGGACTGAGGAAGTAAAACAAACAGGGCTTGGTAATGGGTTGATGTCAAAGCCTGAGTGAGAGGAAGGTGTCCCTGTAGCCCCTGGGTGGCTGGCTCGAGCAGTCAAGTCGATGGGGGTGCCAGTTAACAGAGTGAGTAAGACCTGCACGGGGGAGTTAGCTCAGAGGAAGGGAAGTCACGAGTTCATTTTAGACAAGTTGGGATGAGGATGTCTGGGAGACATCAAGCGCAGATGTTGAGCAGGCAGCAGATGTGAAAGACTGAAGGTCAGACAAGAGGCCTGGCAGAGGATTCATGTGAATTTGGGCGTCATTGGCCCGGAGATGATGTTTACATCCATGAGAAGGCAGCAGATTGTTCCGGGAGCAATGCAAAAACAAAATAGAAGACCCCAGACTAAGTCCTGGGAAACCCACAGTTTAGTAGTGAGCAGAGGAGAAGCAGCAGCCAGGGACACAGGAGGGGACCAGGACAGAGAACACCATGAGGGTTTGAAGGAAGATGGCAGCATTTGGCACATCCAGGCAGAGTGAGCCCCGGGCATTACTGTTAGTATTGCATGTCAATTGTCGGGCACAGTGCCTGCTGGCACTCAATACCCAGGGGCAGTTCATGCTCCGCTTGGCTCCTATGGCCTCCCTCTTTGGGGTGAGGGATTTGGAAGGTCTGGGGAAAGTCCTGGGGAAGCCCAACATTAAGACGTCAGGTAGAGAGGGAGAAGCCAGTGAAGGAGACTGAGAAGAGGCAGCTGGGGATGGAGGGAGGAAACTGCCAGCCACCCATGCCATCATTTCCCCACTCAGCTCTTTGATAAACAGGTCCCAAGCATGTACAAAGGACACAGGTGTGGAGAGAGGGCCAGGCACTCCACTGGTGTCAGCAGGACACAGCACCTGGCTTCAGGAAGCTCCCAGTCAAGGACATCTCCTAATCACCTCGTTGGACAAAGAGCCTCAGGGTAACCTGCTCCCCAGGAAGATCTCCCCAGGAAGGGTACCCCCATGCAGGGGTAAGAAATGGACAGGGTCTCTTGATGAGAGTGCACCCTACATATCAGCTGGGTTCCACTGAGGTCATATAATTATTACCCTTCGCCACCTCCCACCTTCCTCTCCACCACTCCCTGCCAACTTCAGAGTCCCCACTGGCTGGTTCATCCGGAGATGAGACTTTCCTGGCTCCTGGTTCCTGGCTCCTGGTGGGTGCTAACCAGTCAGTGAAGATGAAAATCCTACCCTTGCCCTTACTCCTTTTCCTAAGGCTTGTTAAGCATTTCCCACAGCGAGGTGCTGCGCTCACTGCTTTACATGTATTACCTCACATAAACATCTCATTCTTATAACTACACTGGGTACTACTCTCATCCTCATCTGACATATGGGGAAACTGAGGCAGAACCATCAACAACTTGCCCAAGATCACCATGCTAGTAAGTGATGGAGCAAGGGTTTGAACTCAGGGAGCCTGACTCCAAAGCTGGGGCTCTTAGCCACCTTGCCACAGTCTTCCACTTTGGGATGTGGTTGTCATGAATGGGGCAAACAGGCTCCCTCAAGGAAGCCAAGGAGGAGCTCAGATCAGGAGAGACAGGGTTCTCGTAGGACTGAGATGGGGACTTGGGGAAATGCCATTCCATTGCCCACGTGATACACGCAGAGAAATGCTCAGGCCCACTCCAGCGTCACCATCCCCAGGATCCCCTGAACACCGTGGGGAGTTTCTGGAAGGGCTGATAGAACTTGGGCAACAGAAAGGGCTCTCTCAGGCACACGGCCGGGATAGGCTCTGTATTATTCAGTATACACTTATGGACCCTTTACCTTGTACCCAGCGTGCTGCCTGCTGAGGGTGGTGAGACACAGTCCCTGCCCTCAAAATCAAGGCCAAACATGTATAGAGTGCATCGCACATGCCAGGCCTTGAGCTAAACATCTGACCTAAGTGACGGTGTTTGTTCCTTACAACTCTGGGAGACAGGGCCCAATGTTGATCCCAGTTTACAGAAGAGGCAACCGAGACACAAAGACTTTAAGCAGCCTGCCCATAGCCCCTCAGCCACGTGGTGGAGCTGAGAGCTGACATTTAAACCCAGGCAGTCCAGCATGGTCTCCTGATCTAGCATTAAAATACCAGCTAAACTTAGCCTGCGCCAGGCTGTCTACACACATTTACTCATTTATCAGAAAGCACAGAGCTAAGCCCTCGCACTCTGGAACCAGGCTACCTGGATTCATGTCTGGGCTCTGATGAGTCTCAGAGGCATGACTCGGACAGACAGCCGACCTCATTTGTAAATGGGGATAAAAAATCCAATCTAGCTTATAGGGCTGTTGTGAGGATTAAAAATGAACAATATGAAGTGCTTAGAATGGTACCTGGTGCACAGTAAGAGCTATCGCGTTCATATCATTCATCCCCAAAACCAACTCTATATAGATTGTTATGCCCATTTTATGGACGAGGCCCTGTGGCTAGAAAAGGGCCAGTCACTTCCCCCAGGACACAGAGCTGGGACTCAAACACGTCTCCAGGGATCTGGTGCCAGAATCCAAAGTACATGCTCTTAATCTCGAGCCTTGCTGCTGGGGGCAGGAGTGGGAGAGTAACTTGCCTGCCCCCTCCTCGACAGCTGCAGGGATTCTCTTCTGTCCTCCCCAAAGCAGCCCCAGCCCCTGTGCGTCCAGGCTGAGATAAAATGAGAAGTCTAGGGAGTATTCAAATCCCCTTCCCCAGTTGGGGTGGGGTTGGGCGGGAGCCAGTCTGGGAAGAATGGACAGTCTTCCAAAAGCTGCAACTATAAACAGGACACTGTCACTCCACACCCTCCAGTTCTTCCCCTCTGCTGGGCAGGGCCCGGCAGGCCGCAATCAGCTGCCTCCACAAATACATAAACACATAAGTCCCGAGAGAGAGCTGGCAAAGCTACAGAAGGAAAGGCAGATACCAAGACTGGAGGAGGAGATGGCGGCCCAGCTCTAGCCCCCGCCAAGGTGGAAGGAGGGGCTGGGCTTCCAGCAATGGGCACCTGCAGAACAGGGCGGAAGGAGGGCAGGCCCGGGAGATGGACTGGTGTGTGACAGTGACCTGGGATTGATTCTGCCAGAGGCAAGAGAGGGCAACTGAGCAGGAGCCAGCACTCCCTGAGCATGGGCAGTGGGTTGGGCCCACAGATATCTGGGAGAGACTGAGTCTCCCTGTGGTTCTGGCACTAGACTTTACTCTTGGCAGTGGGGGATGTCAGCCCCCATCTCTCACTGGCCCAGGAAGGCATCCCTTCATGTGTGAAACTGCTAGGACAGAATCATGAACATTCCCCAACATTGGCAGTCTCTGCCCCAGCCAGGAGGGCAGCTGTTGGGAGGGGAGAGGGAGGTGCGGAGCCACAGGGGTGGGGGAGAGCCAGCTGACGGGGTGTGGAGCCAAGAGCCCCACCTTCTGCGGAGCTCTGGATGAAGCCATCCAGTGCCAACACCCCACCGCCCGCCTGCGTGGGTTCTCATTAGGCTTATTAGCAGCCAAATAGCAACAAGCAAACAGCACAGGGACCAGTTAATGAGCACACAGCCCTGCCACGGGCGAGCCAACTTCAAGTGGGAGGGGCTGTTGCCCACTGGCAACTCCCTTCAGGAGAGCAGCTGGCCTGTATGCCTGGGTCAGGGTGGGTGACCGGGGGCAGCAGGGTGAGACGGCCAGGGAGAGAAATACCAGGGGAGAAGGTATGGCAGCATCCTACCTCAGCATCCTGGCGCAGCACCCACTGGGGCACAAGGATGCCCCCACACACATGCACTGGTACTGTAACAGTATGCAAACTCACTCAACCTTGAGTTTCTAGGGTTGAAACTCCAGTTTGGCAGAGAATAACACTGGAACATCACTAGCAAGTTAGGAAACCGAGAACCTCCAGGGCTGGAGGGCCCAAGTGAGACCTATGCCCAGACCCCTGGGGCAGCTGGGGAAAGGCCCACCCCCTATGAAGCCACCCGCTGCAGCTTCAGCTCAAACCTCAGCAACATTCTCCATCAGCCAACGCTGCCTCCCAACCTCCCAACAAAGGCTAAGCTCTCTCAAACATACCAACCCTCTTCCTCACCTCCAAGTCCCAGTCCCTCCTGCCCAGGCCTCCTGAGTCCTGGAAGGCCCTGCTACTCAAAGTGTGGTCCCTGGGCCAGCAGCGTCAGCGTTCCTGGGAGCTGGTTAGAACATAGAATATCCGCCCCACCCCAGATCTGCTGAATCAGAATCTTCTCTTTGATGTGATTCCTAGAGGGTTGGGGGAACATTCAAGTTTGAGGAGGGCCCCCAAGGCAGATCTTCCTATGACTGACCCCCAACTCTGCTCAGTGATTTTTGACCACACCTAGAATCACCTGGGATGCTGTTAAAAAAATTACAGTGCCAGGCCCCAGCCCCAGAGCCTCTGCTTAGCATAAAGCCACCTGGCCGCCCACATCCCTGGCTTCTCTACCCAGAGGAGTTGCTCAGAGCTGATTTTGAGTCTCAGGTTCTTTTCCAATAAGGTGTGTGGCCTTGAGCAAGTCACCGCCTCTCTGAGGCTCACTTTCTTCTTTAAAATTATGAGGGGCTGGGCGTGGTGGCTCACACCTGTAAGCCCAGCACTTTGGCAGGGTGAGGTGGGAGGATCACTTGAGGCCAGGAGTTCGAGACCAGCCTAGCCAACATGATAAAACCTTGTCTCTACAAAAAATTAATTAATTAATTAAATAAAAATAAATAATGAGGGACAAGTGTTTCTCCCCACCGGTGCCCCTGACCACTGAGGGCCTGACCTCTGAGCCGCCCCCAGGCATCCACGTTCCCTGAAAAGGAAAGGGTGTTTAAGCAGATCTGCTTCGTTGTTTGTTTTTGAGTTTTTGGCTCTGGTTCTGTTATTTGGAGGTCCTAGGAGGGACCCAAAATTCTGCCTGAGCTGCATCTTCAAACAGGCAGAGGGTCAGGGCCACGAGGCCTGAGGCAGAAGCCAAGAGCTTGGTGAACCCATATCTCCAGACTCGCGGGAATGGGAGCAATCGCATCGCATCCCATCAAGTGGGGTGTTAGGACAACCACGTTATCATACGTTATCATAGAATAACGTATGATGTTCCCAGATGAAGGCATCCATCATGCTGGGAACATCATACGTTTTTTCACACACCTGGACTATTAGCTGTGAAGCCCTCCTACCGAGAAGGGCCTGGGGCTGGTCCTTGAAGGAAGGGAGCTGTTGAGACTGAGGCTTTGCAGCCAGGCTTGGGACTGGCAGAGGCAGGGGCAGTCACCTGAAGGATAGTCAGGTGGAGTTCCTGGGGAGCTGATGTGGACCCAAGAGGGGCCTGTGGGAGGAAGGAGAAAGATCCAACGGGCTCCCTCAGACTCCCATATCTGCTATGGTCTGTGGGGATTCCACACTCTGGAATATCCAGGCCTCGCTGGTGTCGGGAGTGAACGAAGCCCAGGAGATCGGAGCCTGGAGTTCTGGAGTCAGTCTGCCTGGGTCCAGCCCGAGCTCAGCACTTGCAGCAGCAGAGCTTGGCCGTGTTTCCCAAGCAACCCGAGCTTCAGCTTCCTTATCTGTAAGCCACGATGATAAGCATACACCTACTTCATAAGATGATTGACAGGTCGAACTAAGATAATGCATGTGAAGAGCTTAGCGCAGTGTGGGGCACTAGTACATACTCAGTTGTTAGCTAATAGTAGCAGTAGCAGCAGCAGTGACAGCAATAGTACCATCACCTCCAGTTCACAGATGCAGAAAGTGAGGCCCAGAAATGAAGGTAAGATACCTGGCAGCAGGGTACAGGTATTAAGAAGAGGGACCCTGGTGTCAGGTTGTCTGGATTCAAATCCTAGCTCTGCACTTCCTGACTACATGACCTTGGACAAGTTACCTGATTGTGCTTCACGTTCCTCATCCACCCGCCACAGAGGATGTTTAAAGTGCACCCTGCACAAAGTGAGTGCTATGAAGGTACTGGCTCTTGTTGTTGTTAATGCTCCTGATACCATCAGTGGAAGAGGCTCAGGTGTGAAGGCTCTAGCTCTTCCTAACTCACTCCTTGGTTTCCACAAAATAAGATGGCTTTTCTCTCCTTCGAGCCAGCCTGCCAGGCATCAGAGCAGTCCAAGGGGAGACGGCTCCAGGCATGGGTCACAGTGTCATCTGACCATCCTGGTAGAGTGGCTAACAGAGGCCAGGGCCATTGGGCCAGGGGCCAGGGCAGAGGTGGATTCTCATCACATGCTACATGAATGGTGCCCTTGGAAATGTGGGATGCGGAGGCTCTGGGCCAGGCATGTTCTGCAGAACATAGGTGCATGCAGTCTCCTGAGACCCTGCCGGCAGTGTGAGTGGGGCCAACACAGTAGGACAGCAGGAGGGAGTGCAGGAAGCTTTGAAAACACAAGCAGTGATTTGATTTGAGAAGCTGTGTCCAGCTGGAGGCATTTTTTTTTCTTTTTGAGAAGGAGTCTCGCTCTGTCGCCCAGTCTGGAGTGCAGTGGTGTGATCTTGGCTCACTGCAAACTCTGCCTCCCAGGTTCAAGTGATTCTCCTACCTCAGCCTCCCGAGTAGCTGGGATTACAGGCACCCATCAGCACGCCTGGCTAATTTTGTGTTTTTAGAAGAGACAGGGTTTCACCATCTTGACCAGGCTGGTCTCCAACTCTCGACCTCAAGTGATCCACCCACCTTGGCCTCCCAAAGTGCTGGGATTACAGGCATGAGCCACCGCTCCCGGCCCCAGCTAGAGGCATTTTTAAACCTCTTCCCTTCCATTGGATGTTGCCTCCACTTTAAATAGGGGCTGCATCTTCAGGACGCAGACTAGGAAAGACGCTTCTGCTCCAGGTTCTGGAGTACCTAAGCTTGACCTGCCCTGGGAGTAGGGTGGGGAATGGCACTTCACGTTTGATAGAGCGGAGTGTCTGCTACTGGTGGAGGCACTCACGTTTGATACAGTGGTTGGTGCTGTTTGCTGTTGTCCATCCTGGGCAGCACTGTCCCCCGCAGACGTTCCTCCTGTGGGGTCACCAAAACAGAGTCAACACAAGGATGCTCAGAGCTGGGGACTATTCACAGCCCCTCCGACAGTCCCACCTTCTAGAGGCAGGGCCTGGAGGAACATGGAGAGGCTGGGAAGGCTGTCCCTATTCTACTTGCAAATCTAAGATTGAATCCTGACTCTGCCATTCTCTGCACATCCCTGGGAAACCTCACTCTCTCCATCTGTACAATGGAGATAACAATAGCTGCTTAATTGAGTTGTTATGATGGTTAAATGAGGTGAGAATGTTTAACATCTGACATAAAGAAGGCAGTCCACTGGGGCAACAATGACAGTGATCCTAAAGCTAATAAGCCACTTCAGAGAGGTTCAGTGACTTGCCAATTCCACACAGCAGGTAAGTGCCAGAGCCTGATTCAAACCTGGGTTGGCCCAACTCTAAGCCATGCTCCAACTCTACATTGCCTCTCACCAAAAAAAAAAAAAAAAAAAACCACACACACAAAAAAACACCATGGTCGTTGCCCTACCAATGCTGACGATCCAAGGGAGGCTGGAAGACACACATAAAACAGTCTCAAGGTCATACGAGGTGTTACCTGCCAACGAATGCACACTGAGGAGTCTCAGCCCCCGGCAGTCTGGTGCGTGGGAAGGCTGAGCCCTGAGTGGGCACTGAAGGAACAGGGCTCTAGAATCCCTGGTTAAGAGGTGCTTACAAGGTGGCAAGCTGGTAGGAGGATGGGGCTGGGGATGTGGGTTAAGCTGCCTCTGCACAATTTTTATGTGGAGGCACAATTTTTATTTGAGAGGCAAACAGGACTTACTCTATAGCGAAATAGAGTTCTTCCATCAACTACTCCTTTTTTTTTTTTTTTGAGTCTCACTATATCGCCCAGGCTGGAGTGCAATGTCGTGATCTCGGCTCATGGCAACCTCAGTCCTGCCACCATGCCTGGCTAATTTTAAAAATATTCTTAATAGAGATGGGGTTTCACCATGTTGGCCAGGGTGGTCTCAAACTCCTGAGCTTAGGTGATCCACCCACCTCGGCCTCCCAAAGTGCTGGGATTATAGGTGTGAGCCACTGCGCCCAGCCCTTCAGCTACTCCTTGATGTTGGCTCTGAGGGCACCCCCATGAGACGCTGACCTACAGTGCTGGGGCATTCACTCAGCTCCCCAAACTTTGCTTCCGGGTGTCTGGCGCACTCCAGCAGCACCAGCAGTTTCCACCCGGCCCTGACTCTGCAGCTAAAGACCCACATGCCTAGACCAGGGCGTCTCCCTAGAAGGGCTTCTCCTGGAGATCTCTAGGGACTGACTCCTTGGCAGGCTGGGCCGGGCTCTGGCTTCCATCCTTATCATTGGAAATCATCACCGGGCACTGGAACTAGAGGGTAAGAGGGGAGGGAGAAGTGCAGAGGCTGGACAGGCAAAGGACAGAGCAGGGCGGCCACTCCTGTGATCTCTGTGGCCAGCATGGCGACATCTGGTCCCACTTAGGAGTTTGTTTGACATTTGAGTGGACCCCAAAGCTTATGTGGTTTTTGGAGTCTTACGAAGAATTCAAAATAAATTCCTGCAGCTTGAAAAAGCGGAGGCCCATTCCTGGCCCTTTGGCCCAAAGTTGTGGGCACTGCCTCCCTCCCAGGGAGCTCCCAGAATGTCCCACCAGCCAAGAGTTGTGCCACTTGGGCCACCTCAAAGCCTCTCTGGGCGACCACCGTTAGCAGCTTCCTGGCTGCATCAGGGCCCATGTCACGGGGGTCAGGGAAAGGGCTGCTTGTCAGACCCAGAGTTTCCGGGGGTGCGCCCCAGTGGAAGGGGAAACTACGTACCCACTTTTATGTCACCACCCCTTGTGGTGGTGACAAGACCTCTCGTGGGGCTAGGAGGGCTCTGAGAGGAAACAGATTCTGTGCCCTGGGAATTTTCTAAGAATTAGGGCCTGTGGGAACCCAGACAGCACGGACGCAGGAGCCTGCCTGGCTGGGAGGTCATGGCATGGAGCCCAGCCCAAGGAGGCCCCCTGAGCCAGCCGTCACCCCAGCTGCCCTCAGGATGGCTTTGCAGCTGACTGTGGGAGGGCAGGGGCCAACCTTGCTTTGCCTGCACAGAGTAGGCCCTAAGGGATGTAAGGCCACGTGAGGATTGGCCAGAATCAAAGGCTGCCAGGCAGAGAGGCC
Source organism: Homo sapiens (assembly GCF_000001405.40). Taxonomy (NCBI): domain Eukaryota; kingdom Metazoa; phylum Chordata; class Mammalia; order Primates; family Hominidae; genus Homo; species Homo sapiens. Next base: position 74,605,879 of record NC_000014.9, read on the forward strand.
AGGCTGGGGCTGGTAGGGCACTCAAGAGAGATTCAGGTCCCCAAGGAGAGTCTCTAAGGATCCCTACAGGCCAATATTAAAGTTTTGGGTGCAGGCCCAGGGAGGTAACCAGCTGGGAATTCTGGGAATTGTCAGTTCAGTGGGCTCTGGCTAGCAGAGAGAGCAAATGAGCCTGAACAGCTGGGATATATAATTCAATCACTCTGACTCCCTAGAAGGTACCTCTCAGAGATCATCTGAGTCCAGTCTTCCAGTTGACACCACTCAGCACACATTAGCCCAGTATCCAGCATCACTGTAGGGAACACATCTGGCTAGCAGTCTGGGAGAGCTGCTATTCCACCTGGGCCAAATCTGATCACACTAGCCCTTTGTTAAAAACCTCCCACAGCTCTCCACTGGCCTCTACAAGGCCCCCTGGCACCCATGTGCCTACTTTCCTGTGCAGTCTAATTGTCCCCATCACCCCCACCTTGTCTCCACAACCATCCACAGCCAAGGCTTTGCTCCTCCAAGGATACAAGGTTTGTTGCTCCCCAGTTACCCTATGGATTTCACTTCGATGCCTTTGCCTGGGCTGCTCTCTCTGCCTAGAATGCCTTTCCTCTCTGGTCTACTGATTAAAATCCTTTGCATACTCCAAGACTTCCAGATCAGATATTACCTTCTTTGTATAAAACCTCCCCTGGGCCAGGCAAGGTGGCTCACACCTGTAATCCCAGCACTTTAGGAGTCTGAGGTGGGCAGATCACAAGGTCAGGAAATTGAGACCATCCTGGCCAACACAGTGAAACCCCGTCTCTACTAAAAATTAGCTGGGCATGGTGGTAAGCACCTGTAGTCCCAGCTACTCACTCGGGAGGTTGAGGCAGAAGAATTGCTTGAACCCAGGAGGCGGAGGCTGCAGTGAGCAGAGATTGTGCCACTGCACTACAGTTTGGCGACAGAGCAAGACTCCATCTCAAAAAACAAAACAAACAAAAAAAAAAAACCCACCTCCTCTGACATCTACCCAGCCTTCCCTCATTCTCCATCTGCATCTGCTGTGATCACTTAGTACTGCCTGTCTCAGGTCATTGGTTGTATCTCAGTCTTGGGTATCTAGAGGTTTCTTTCTTATTTCTCCTTGTGCCTCTACAGTCTAACACAGTGCCCAACATGTGGTATACAATTGATACTTGTTTCATTTAATCTGGAGTTTCACAAAAAGTGGGATGAGCCACTGAGGGTAGGAAAGGCATTTTAAGTTTACAGATCACAACATTCAACAATCTGAGTTACATGGTGAGAAAGTGATTCTCTTTTTGGTGATCCTTCTAACCTAATGATGTCAGTGAAAAAGGCCACGTCCTCCCCTCAACACACGCTAGTCCCCCTTCCAATAGAGGGAACTTGCCACAGAGTTGAGCTTCCTAAGACAATGAATGAAGTCTGACTAGAACTTAAGAACATTTTGTTTTCATTTCAATTTTCCTACAGTTATCTTCTCTTTATAACAAGTGGTACTGCTTTCAACTTATGATAATGATACAAAGTTTCCTTTCAGTTATGAATTTATTTATGGAGAAAAATGAGTCAAGCACTGTCTGTAATAGCAAAAAAATTCAGTAGAATTTTTAGAAAATTACTTTTAGAAAAAGTAATTCATCTAAATGTCCAAAAACAGGAGGATGGATAAACTGTGGTAATATTCAGACAAAGGAATAATATACAACAGTTAAAATGAATAAACTTGGGCTAATTATATTAACATGGTTAAATCTCAAAAATCTAATGAGGAGGGGAAAAACAAATTGCAGAAGAATAATGAAATAGGGTCTCACTTATCTAAGTTTAAAATATGCAAAACAACATTGTATATTTTGTGGATACATGTATCTATAGTAATATTGTAAAAACATCTATTGGAATTAATTAAATTCAGGGTAGTGGTTAACTCTGGGGAGGGAAGGAGGCAAATTTATAGAGGAAATTTCAACTAAAAAACTGGAATCAAAATATGTCAAAATATTAAGGTTTGATAAAACTAGACTATGTTTTTTTTTTTTTTTTTGAGACGGAGTCTCGCTCTGTCGCCCAGGCCGGACTGCGGACTGCAGTGGCGCAATCTCGGCTCACTGCAAGCTCCGCTTCCCGGGTTCACGCCATTCTCCTGCCTCAGCCTCCCGAGTAGCTGGGACTACAGGCGCCCGCCACCGCGCCCGGCTAATTTTTTGTATTTTTAGTAGAGACGGGGTTTCACCTTGTTAGCCAGGATGGTCTCGATCTCCTGACCTCATGATCCACCCGCCTCAGCCTCCCAAAGTGCTGGGATTACAGGCATGAGCCACCGCGCCCGGCCAAAACTAGACTATGTTATATTATTTTCAATACCTTTTAGTGCATTTATAAAACTTCATAATATACTTTAAAACAGATAAAACACAAAATCCTGTTATTTTAACAGAATATAAAGTTAAAGAAAAATAATAACAGAACAAGAGGGAAAGGTAGAGAAAAATATTATACAGGTGGTCTGCTGTGAGGCTGGTTCAAAAAACCCTATAGAGGCCAGGCGTGGTGGCTCACACCTGTAATCCCAGCACTTTGGGAGGCCAAGGTGGGTGTAGTGCTTAAGCTCAGGAGTTTGAGACCAGCCTGGCCAACATGGCGAAACCCCATCTCTACTAAAAATACAAAAAATTAGCCGGGTGTGGTGACGTGCGCCCATAATCCCAGTTACTAGGGAGGCTGAGGCACGAGAATTGCTTGAGCCTCGGGGGTGGAGGTTGTAGTGAACCGAAATAATGTCACTCCAGCCTGAGTGACAGGGCAAGAGACTCTATCTCAAAAAAAAGAAAAAAAAAAAAAGAAAAAAAGAAAGAAAGAATAAAGAAAAGAAAAGAAATGAAAAAGAAACCCTGTAGACTGTAAATTTCATTAGCGTAGGGACGGTGTCCACTCTGGTCACTGCTGTATCCCAAATACCTAGCATCAAGCCTGGCACAAACTTAATAAGTCTTTATTATGTGCAATAAATCTTTTCTACATTGAAAGTTCCATGAGGACAGAGTATGCCTGTCTTGGTCACTGCTATATCCTCAAGATCCAGTATAGGGCCTGGGTATAGAAGTTCTTCCAAAATATTTGTCGAATGAATGAAGAAGCTCCAGTAGCAGTGGTGCAGTTCCAAGATTCACCAGGAGGTGGCACTTGGTCCCTGGCTGTCTGCAGCTCACAAGGCAATGAATGGCCAACCTGATCAGCCTGACTAGAAGCCATTAGCCAGAATGGACCAGGGTGGAGGAAGAGAATAAACAAGATGACCCCTCAGGTCCTCCCCAGCTGACATGGAGTGGCTGACTGGAGTGTCAGGGAACCCACTCTTTATCAAAGCTGCAGAAGACAATGTGGGGGAGGAGCCTGACCAGTGTGTCATGTGATGTGTGCACCTGTGTACAGCAGGTGGCACCCAGCCCATGTCTTCACATGCCTGTTCACATCCACCAGCTTTGTTGTAGTGACAATTCGCTTTATTTCATGACTTCTAATAGTGCACCCTCCAGCCCCCACGCTCCACTTCCCCACCTTCCCCCGCACCTCACCTGCACCTAAATGCCTGCAGTACAAGCTCCTCCCTGCTCCAGCCCAAGCTATGTCTCTAGGTTCCCCTACACCAAAGCTGCAGTGCTACCCCTGGGCCAGTGCCAACAGTAAAAAGCCCTTGTCCTTGGGCAGTGCTACATCTGCACACCACCCTCACCTCCAGGCCCCCCTCCTGCCACCTCCCCTCTGCTTCCCCACATGCTGCCCACAGAGCCCCAGGGGCCCCAGGTCACAGGTCCCCTCTACTCAGCTCTTCAGCTACAGTTGCCCCACTCCTTTGCACTTAACAGGAACCTTCCAGTACTAGAAAGCATCTGTTCATTTCTTCAACGTGATATTAAGTAATTGGGTTGCTCTCCCAGCAGGAACAATGCCTTGGACTCTGGGCCTCCATCCCCTTTCCCATGCTCTGCACGCAGGATCCTTGGAAGCATGCATTCACTTGCACAGATCAGGAAAGGAAAACGCTGAAACACAGCAGGTGCTTTCCACTAAGACTTGTTGAATGATCCTATGTGTAAGCGACTTGGCAGTGCATGGGTCTACTCTCTGCCTGCTTGAAGCTGGGCCTTCCATGGGCAGCAGGGAGTTCATCCACTCATTCAACAGATACCTAGAGAATACCAACCAGTGCAGGCACTATTCTAGGCACAAGAGACACAGAAATGGACACAACGAAGTCCCTGTTTGCATAGAGCTTGCATTAGTGTGGGCTGGGAGGCCAGGCCATAAACACATAAATAGGAATAGAACATATCAGATAGAATAAGTACTATGAAGAAACATAAAGCAGGGTGAAAGGAGAAAGAGGATGGGGCACGGGTGGCCAAAAGTCACTCTGAGCAGAAATCTGAAAGAGACAGAGCTCAATCCTGCTGAAATATGAGAAGAGCGCTCCAGCCAAGGAAAACAGAGCGCCAAGGAAAACAGAGCGCCAAGGCTGCGAAGTGCAAGGTCCTTGGAGTAGGACTCGGGGTACAAGTGTCTTTCATGCTGTTCCCCAGGACTAAACCCAACTGGCAAATCGGGCCCAGGCAAAGAGAGGCTGCCAAAGCCCTTCCCAGACTTCCCGATGGTGCCCCCACCCAGCCCCTCACTGCCCAGGGCTCAGTGCCCTCCATTCCAGAGGCACCTGCCATACCCAGGCAAGGCGGAGCGTGCCCGCAGCCATGATGATCCGATTGGGGATGGGGATTACTGGGGCATCTTCTCACTCTGCGACGGCGCCCGCGGTGGGCAGGGGGTGGTGCCCAGGGGGAGCAAAAAAGTAAATTGCAGGGTTGTGCGGTGGCTTAGCCCTGCAACGCGCCCAAGTCACGCTTACACCTAGATGCACAAGAGCACACTGATCCAATTCTCCACGCGCCCACTGTGTCGCAGCCTCATCAGGACACGCTTCCCGCCCAAAGTACCCAGAGCTCACGCCCACGCCCGCATCCAGCCCTCAGCGTGCGCAGGCCGACCCACGCCCCACGACACTTGTCCCGACGCACCAGCTTCGCTGCCGGCTCCCCTCCTGGAGACGCATCTACCTTCTCTCCATGGGGCCCCCGACACCTCCGCCAACCCGCGCTCTGAGCCAGCTCAACCTCCCCTGGGCGTCAAGAGCCTGGAGCGCCCACCCTCCTGCCCTCTCCCCGCTGCCTCTCAGATCCCGGCAGCGCTGCAAGAGTCTACAAGAGCTCGTTAGTTGCAGGCAGGAGGAACGCGGGCGAGTGGAGAGGCGCCTTGCGAAAGGATTTAACGTCGGGGCTCCGGGAGAGTTGGTAAGAAAGGATGAGGATGATGATCTATCTGCCTTCAACTCTTCGAAAGCGGATCAAATCTTCCAATCCCGATTTTGGAACCTCGGGGCTGTTTCCCGAAGTACTAAAGACAGAGGGACGAGGGTATGAGAGCGGCGCCCTCTCCTCTCGCCTGCACGCCCCTCCACAAATGAGCCCTGGCTCCCCTCTGTACCCTCCAAACTTCCCTCTCCCATGCTCACCCCGTGAGCCGCCCTCGCGGCGGGGTTGGGGGCGCAGCCCCAGACCGCTGTGGGGTCCCCAGGCGTGGGAGAGCCGGCGCGGCCCGGGTCCGGGGTGCTGGTTGCTGCTGGCCCAGGGGAGTGCTTCTCCGGGTCTGCGCAGGTGGCTGGACACGCCGCGACTGCTGCGCGCGGGACGGCCTCCTGGCCTCCGCCTCGGTGGGCCTCCTGGGGCTCCCCCAGCCCGGCTGGGCCCGCTCCACGGGCTGCAAGCCCGCGACAGG